>NC_000002.12:29353874-29506624 GCF_000001405.40 Homo sapiens
ATAAGGAAAACCTTGGTACTTTGTTTTGCCTGATTAGGATGTTGAGACTCAAAGGTAGGAAGATAAATGGACATAGCTGACACTTTTAACAAAGGACAGCCTTTGGTCCTTAAGCACAAGAGAGCCTGAGGCTGGGGCATTTCTGTCACTTGGCAGCTCAAACACCTGAGACCAGCCTTTCACTGACTTTTATAGCTTTTGTATGACCTTCAGTGTAGTCTCATGTGCTGGCCATAAGGTCTTTCAGAATTTCATTTCTTTGTCTTTAAGGGGCTAAGAAAAGACTGTAGAAGTGTCTGAGGAGCACAGGATGTTCCAGAGAGGCCAACTGTGGCTGTTTCCTGTCCTGACTCCTCACAGAGTCTTCCCTGTCTTAGGTGGCCCTGTGGTCTCTGCGCTGCGTGACTCCTTCCTGGCTGTGATAGAAGGGAAGCGCTTTCACAAGCTGGCCAACAACCTAAGATGCATGTGGCCTTGCTCAAAAGCCAGATCTGGGCCCATCAGATTCCTTTCTTCAGAATTCAAGACTGGGATAGTGCTGGGTGTCTGTGAGGGTTGAGCTGAATGATCCTGGGGTGGATCTGGGGCCAAGGCAGCCCTTCTGGGCCATGCTCATCAGAGAAGGCAGGAGAGCAGAGCAGCACCCAATGGGAGCCATGGCATCGTGCACCGGAGACCATCCTTCTTCATCCTTCTTCTCAATGTCCCAGTTTTAGAGAGAGAGAGAGAGAGAGAGAGAGAAGCTAAAACCCAGAGGCTTTGGCATGATACCTAAGAGATGCTCTCACCTCTTTTGAGGAGCAAGATGAAGAGCTGCTTTCCTGGCACATGTAGCTTTCTGGTTCCAGTCCCAGGCCATGACTACTCTTACCACATGCCCACTTTTCTTTTTCTTTTTTTTTTTTTTTTTGAGATGGAGTCTCGCTCTGTCACCCAGGCTGGAGTGCAGTGGCACGACCTTGGCTCACTGCAAGCTCCACCTCCCAGGTTCACACCATTCTCCTGCCTCAGCCTCCCAAGTAGCTAGGACTACAGGTGCCTGCCACCGCGCCTGGCTAATTTTTTGTATTTTTAGTAGAGACGGGGTTTCACTGTGTTAGCCAGGATGGTCTCAGTCTCCTGACCTCGTGATCCACCTGTCTCGGCCTCCCAAAGTGCTGGGATTATAGGCGTGAGCCACTACGCCCGGCCAGCCCACTTTTCTTTGTGACAAGAATGGATACCTGATACCTTCCCTAGCAACTGATTGGTTTCCAAGGTGTTTGGCCGACTCATGAGCATTTAGCTACTTCACAGTTGAGTAGAGATTAACCTCTTCCATTTGTGTGGTGCATTCACAGATGAGATGTCTTTTGATTCTACAACACCCCTGTGAAGAAGGCATGGTGGGCATCCTGATTCTCCTATTTTCAGCTGGGAAAACAAAGTCATGCAGCACTGGGCCTAAAACCCAGGTCCCCACATTCCCACTCCAGTGCTGTTTTTATGTAATTTCTCTGGTTCTCAGGTCACTTTCTACGAGGGTAATTCCTGAGTTTCTAAGCCCAAGACTTTCAGTCCATCCTGGCCTATGCTCCCTGCTAACACACACACCACATACACACCCACCACACACAGACACACACACACACACACCACTTGTCCTTGAAGGTCTCTGCAATGCATGTCCTTATGCCACTATCCCATCCCTCGGCTGAGGCGTGTTGCCCAATGGGCCCTAGCAGTAACTGAATGGCTGCACTGGAAGGGAAAGACTTTTAGCTACAGGAAGCAGTTCTGCTGATTCGATCTCATCTAATTAAAAGTCACTGAACTGTCAGAAGTGCTGCCTTTTAGGTCAGGCATTAAAACCTAACACCCTGAACTCTCCAAACTCTTTTCTGCTTGCTCCACACTCTGTCCATTTCCTCACATCTGCCAAACATTGGTGGGGAGCTTAACTCCAATGTTTAGGCTACCCTGAGTTAGGATATACAAAGCCAGAGCTGACAAGGACACCTAAGACTCTCTGGCTTCCACCTAGGCTCCCAGAGTAGCACGCTGGAGCCAATTGTGTGCATCTCTTCCCAATTCCACATCTGGAGACCTCACAGTGGTATCTTATAATCAGCCATCATGGGAATATTTACACTACAGAAATTGGCAAATGGTAAAATCAAGGCTCCCTCCTGAAGAGGCACTTGTTAGACACCTGCCCAAGGCCCCTCGAGGTCCAAGGAGCCTGCATGGGAGCATGGGTGGAATCTGAAGGCCCCTCTGTCCTGATGCAGCCTGGGCCCTTCTGATTGTGTCTGTTCCGCAGAGCAATAATAGCTGACGTTTCCTGAGGACTATATATGTGCCAGGTTGTATGCTGACATTTTGCAAGTATTAACTCATTTTATCTCCTTAAAATCCTAAGAGTAAATAGTATTATTAACTTCTTTTTTGCAGATGAGGAAAATGAGGCTCAGAGAGGTTACATAACTTACTCTATAGCTTACACGGCTAGTGAGGGTGGTACCTGGATTTGAATTCAGGCAGTCTGACTCTTAACCCACATTCTTAACCTCTATGCTATACTCCTTCTCCACATCAGATTTAATTTGGAAAAAAAAAAGTCCCAGGGAAGAAACTGTTAGAAAATTAAGTAATATTCTCACTACAGTACAATGGAATGCCCTGAGTGTACCCTTCTCCGCACTTTGCTGCCTCTGGTTCTAGATTTTAGTAAAAGCTGCTTAGTCAGAGTTGGCCCAATTAATAAATAAGTATCTTTCAGAAACCTCAAACTTGTTCCACTCCTGCCTGATTTTGGGATGGGAGACTGAGCAGACCCACTGGGGTGGTGGAATCACTCAATCACACTGAAAATGACATCCAAATAAATAAAGAAAATCAAGCGTGCCATCTGGGCCCTGCACACAGCAGGGCTCTTGTGCAGCTGCAGGGTGCTGTTTATTCTGAGCTGTCTTGGACAGAGAAGGAGACACCTGAGTTCAGCCAGGGTTAAAGAATTCTCCAGGTTCCTGGGCATGAGCTAAACCCTCAGTAAATGAAGCTTCCCCATCCAGCCCATGACTGCTCCACATCTTCAGAGACCCCCAAGTCCCACCCTCTGGGGCTTCAGCCACAACAAACTACTCACAGGTAGTTTGTGAGTAAACCACAGGCTTTTTCCCATCCAACTGAGTGCGAAGATTCAACCAGGCCATGGTACTCACTTCTGCTCTTACATATCAGCTATAACGAACGCCTCTGAGTTTTAGGTTCTCTGTCTCCAAAATTGGGATGAGCTACCACATGGGTTATAGTGAGGAATACGAGCTAACCCATTTAAATGCTGAATGCAAAGCTTGGTCCTTCACTAGGACTAAATATGAGTCAGCAATGATTAGTGGTGACAATGCAGACACTAGTTAGTTCTTTGCCCTCATCTCCTCCTCATGACCACTATCACTGTCCTGGCATCTGGAATACCCTGCACATCTCACTGTCCCAATTTTCTCCCCCGCTGGCAGGGCTCAGCTCACGCTGATCTTTGAAGACATCTGTGACTCTTCCAGGGAGAAGTGGGCTCTTTATTCCTTGACACAGCACATCATACCACCGCTTCTAGCTTCTAGAAAGGCCAGTTATATTATTCCTGAAATCTCAGCAGTCATGGCAAACTTTCACGGCAGATGCCTTTGTTATTTAGGGTCAAACCACAGCCAGAGTTAATTCTCATTCTGTCCTCCTGGTCATAGTGGGGGTGCTGTGGCAAACCTGAGGCCCCATCTCCCCCACCTGTCTGTCCATTGGAATATTCCTGGTCTCCCATGTCAAATGCCAAGCTCCAGGTGGGATTTGACCTAGCATCTCTTTCATGTCAATGCTCCCCCTGCAGAATCTGCAGGCTGACCTTGCAGGAGGTAGGGGCCCTGAACTAAGCTATGATCTTCCTGGAGGGGTAGGAGGAAAGGATTATTCCCTTGCATATGGTAGATGAGGTTGTATCTCAAAAACTATACTCTCGATTTCAGAGATGCTTAATAATATCTCACTGGCTTGGCCCTTTCCTGGGTCAAAAGTAAAATCTCCCTGTGTACTAATCACTTTGATAAACATAATGTGCAATATCCCATTTGGTCCACTATTTTACAGATTAACAAGAGGCTAAGAGAAGAAGCAAAAGACTTGACCAAGTTTTCACAGATGGTAAACAGCAGAAAGGAGACTCGAGCCCAGAACGTCAGCTTGCAGAACCAGAGTCCATAACCAATATGGTACTGAGTTTGTCAGGAGTACCTATAAAGTTGCTTTGTGTGTCATGAACATTTCATGCAAGAAAATCTGCAAATGTATTAAAACAATAACTGAACCAAGACAGGCCTTCCACTCTTTGGAAAAGGCAATGCTGTCCTCTTAAGATATTTTACCTTCTTTATTTAGAAATTTAAATCTCTGAATGATGACTGAAAAAGGTGATCAAATTGTGTAATTTTTAATAAATGTTCTGGCCTTAGCTGAAAAGTAAAGATGGAGAAAACATCAGGTAGAAGTAAATATGGAGAAAATCTCACATAAATATTTAAGCCTCACACAGAGTGTTAGTGATTGGGCCTATGGTTCAGTCTAAGGCTCTCCATCTTGTTTGTCTCCAAATAAGAACAAAAGTTTCCCAGCATGTGGCCCCCAGGAAGCAGACTGATTGACAGCAAGTTCTCCCAAGTGCTGTAGAGGAGGCTTGTCAATCTTAAGTTTGCTCCAGTGTCAGGGAATTTGATTGTTTGCCAGTTCTACTTGGACATGGATTTACTCTGCCTGCAAATGCCCACCTTTCTGTACAGCATCTCATCTGCACCTCCAGAAAATAAACTGTGGTCTCAGTGAGGGGCAGGCACTGATATATTTTCTCCCATTTGGAATCACATGCTCACTTCTCTGCTTCCACAGCTTCCCCCATGAGGGTACTTAATTTCCTTATAATGAGTTGTCATAGATCCTTCCTCCTTACTACCTTACCAGCTCTGTGAGGACCAACAATTCCCTATTATATACGTTCGTAAATGATTAATAAATGTTTGGGGAGTAATAAATGGTTCAGCACAGGATTTTTCCACTAAGAGTTGTACAATTAAGAATATTCTAGGTATATCTAGAGATCAGCTGTACAACATTATGCCTATAGTTAAAAATACCGTGTTGTGCATTACAACAATTGTTAAGAAGGTAGATCTCATGTGAAGTGTTCTTGCTATGGTAATTAAAAAAAAAAACTAAAAAAGAGAATCTTCTAGGTATATCTAAAAGGATGACCCAAACCAGAATGTAAAGGAGCCTTTAGAAAAACTAACACTGCAGCATCCACACACAAACCAGCTGGGACTAGTGTCATTCCTGGATGGAGTCAAGGTTTGCATTGCGGCCAATGCCCCTCCCTTGAAGAGGGTATTATTCAGGGTGGCCCAGGTCTCCTCCATACTTCTGGGTCCACACCTCCACCCACTTTAAGTTCCATCAAATCTGTGTGATTTGGCTTCCAGATTGTCTCCCACACAGAGGAGGGTTCCTGGCAGGGTTGGTGTCCAGGACTTCTCAGTGAGGACTTGAGTCCATTAGC
This sequence comes from Homo sapiens, assembly GCF_000001405.40. Classification (NCBI taxonomy): domain Eukaryota; kingdom Metazoa; phylum Chordata; class Mammalia; order Primates; family Hominidae; genus Homo; species Homo sapiens. The sequence goes on from NC_000002.12 coordinate 29,359,459, forward strand.
TCAGAAATCCTGTTCCTTCTTCACTGGGTGCTTTCTTAAGACTGGGCCAAGTCATGGTATTTCATTAGGATAATAAAAAAGGAGAAAGTCAGGCTTAGAATTTGAAAATCTCTCACATAATAAAAGCTGACTGGTAATTTATGGCTGTTCCACTTGAAGGTGACTTTGGGATCAATAGACACTCTAGCTGGACTTCCAGAGATTCGATTCATAAAGGCTCCCAAAGCCTTTGAATGGGCTGCTTCAGCCACTCATCTCCCAGAAGGCGGCCAGCACCATGCAGCTTGTTCCCGGGCTGGCAGTCTTGTTAGCTGGGTGGTGGTCTGCTGCCTGCTTCCCTCCTGTCTCTGTCTTGAAGATAATTCCACCTAACACAGTTAAGCAGCACGGCCCTTTGGTGGTGCCTAAGACTTTTTGGGCTTTGTCCAGATGCTTCCTCATCACTGAGAAGAAGAAGACCTGACCTGCATTCCAATTTCCTTCTCACATCCAGACCATGACGTTTCCACAGTCTGAAAGCTGTTCCTCTCTCCAGGGGTACTCAGTAGAAGTGGGCAGGCCTCAGTTTCCCTCTCATAATGGCTATCTAGAACCTTTTTCTAAGAATGTGGGTCTCAGGGATCTCTCTTCTTCTCAGGCAGAGCCTGAGGTGTGCACTAAAATAAATCAATGGCTCTGAGAATGTCTCTTCTCTGGGACCACAGAACCCACTTTGGTTTCCTTCTTCCTAAGGGCCAAGATTGCAAGCCATGATTCATGGCTTTTCTGGCACAGTTGGCCTTCCCAGTCCTGGCCCTTCCCTCTCTGGGAAGAGTCTTCACAGCCATGAGTGAGGCTTCTGGGTCCCAGGTCTTATTTAGTCTGAGTGGACTCCATTTCCTTTCTTTTTGGATAATGCACTGCTGTCCTGCCCTTGGTCAGCTAATCCTCTCCTGTCCCTGGTCTAGCCTCTGTGTAGCCTTCTGACCTCTGGAGACAGGAAGTGCAGAGATAGCACATTGCCCAGAGCTCCTGACACAAGGCTCGTCCTGCCCACGATGGATTCTTTCCTCTGAAGCCATGTGTTTGTCAATGACTTCATGTTGAGATTTGATTTATTGGGCATCTTTCCCGTGTACAGCTCTGTGGTAGGTGTTAGGTGATGTGAGAATACAGAAATGATTCATGGACTCTTATCCTCAAAGAGTTGCAGTCTTAGGGCAGATATGACAGGAGCACAAATAACTAGGAATTGTGGTGAAGCATAAGGGCCATAATGGTGGTAAAAAATAAAAGCCCACAGACATTTAGAAGAGAAGTTATTTCTAGGTTGATGAGATGAATTAATTATACTTAATTTATGTGCTTTCTAGTTGGTATTTATCTATGAGGTTTGTGCAAAGATGAGTGGTCAGAAGCTTACTTGTTCTGGGTTCTCCTAAGAATGGGGTATTTCTCTAAATCTTCACTTTGGATTGGACCCTCCCACCACCCCTGGTCATGGGCCTGAAACCACATAAACTGCTAGGGCTCAGCTAGATGCAGAGATGCAGAGATGCAGAGAAGCATGGGCATATTTGAGGGAGGCCCCGAGGCCATGCTGTCAGAAGTCCAGCAGCAAAGTCCCCCTGGATCTTCCTTTTTGGGGCGTCTCTCTCAGGAAGCTGATGAATCCACGAGCAGATCGCCGACGCAGTCTCAAATCAATACCCCTGACTGGCAAGACAGGTCCCTGTGCTATTAGGAGTGGTGACAGCTTTCAGATGGGGCATAAACCAATTGTTAAAGACCGTCCACATTATTCACCAGGGTGGGAGAATTCATTTTAGTATCCGGGAAAAACAGCCGTTTGGGTAATTACATTCTGTTTCCCCTCGTCTCTGCTAATGCATTAGCAGGAGATAATATTCCACATTCCAAGTCCAGAACCATCCCACAGAGCTGCTATTAAACAGCTGTCACCTTCCTCCCCATAACTGGATGCATTTCTCAGCAGGAAGAATGACTCCCTGTATGCTGGCTGCATCAATCCTGGCGCGTAGGAAATGCATTTGCTGGAGCTACAGGCAATGCGTTATAGTGGGAAAACACTGGGCCAGCAGTGGAGAAGCTGAGCTGTGGTTCTGACTCAGCTGTGACTTGCTATGTAACCTTGGGTAAGTCACTTAATCTCTCTGGTGCTAGGGCTTCCCAAGTTGTAAGGCTGGGACAGGCGATCCCTGTGGGGTCTGCAATTTGGGGTCACCATGTAGGGTCTTTTTCAGTGGGGCACAGGCTCTCCCAGGACTTCTGCTTTGGGCTGGAAACCCTCAAAACTGGTTGGCCACGTGATCCTTGTATATTGTGGCCTATATCTACAACCGCTATCTGGTTGGAGGTCCTGGTTCTTTGTTTATTGACTGAAGGCTTAACTTGGTTTATGCCCCATTTGAAAGCTGTCACCATTCCTTCGACTGTCTTTGAAACAAATAATCTTTAGCCCATCCTTTTTCATCACTTCATTGTTCCTCATGAGCCATAGCAGACCTCTGACCCTGCCCCAAGTAATGGGAAATTAGGGAGAGAAGGATGGAGAAAGGACACAAAGGCTTAGGGGGTCAGACAAGAAGTGGAAAAAGGGAAGGACCTGGAGGAGAAACAGAGAAAGGAAGACAAAGGATGGAAAGTGAAAGGGAGGGCTCCGGAATGGATTGATGGGTGGTGGGCAGGAAGAATCGAAGAGAACAGGGGGAAAGAAGGAGTTACTGGATGGAACAAAAAAGGAGCCAAATACAGGAGAAGGACGGGAGGTAATGGGAAGAAGTTCTGGAAGTTGGAGAAATTCATTTCCTTCCTTCTCTTTTTCCTTCCTTCCTTCTTTCTTTCCTGCCAACAAACACTAGCAACTCACAATCTGGCACATAGTATTCAGCTTCAATATTCTAGGTGCTAAAGAGGCAAACATGAAGAAAACATGGTTCTTGCATACAAGGAGCTGACAGTATATTAGAAGGAGGCAGAGGGTTAAATGTGTGACAAGGTGTGGAAAGACCCTCCTAAGAGGGGTGTGTCCACAGTTACGGGAATCTATCAGTGCTCCTGGGGAGAGGGAAGGAGAGTTTGGAGAGGTGTCATGGAGCTGGATGGATCCCAGGAGATGAGTAGAATGTCTGTGCTCTTCTGTTCTGCACTCACTCTGTGGCTTTGTTGTATTATCATCCTTCACACAGTCACTGCATCCTCCCCCATTTCCACAGCACTGCGTCTCATTCACCTCACTATATTGTAGTCCCTTCTTTATCTGTCTTATCCACTGTACTGAGCTCTTTAAGGCCAGAAAACTTGGTTTAATTGCCTTCATATTTATATTGCCCGGCACCTAGTTTGATGCCAGCAAATAGCAGGTACAATCCCCACTCCCAAACAAACAAATGAACAAACAAACAAACAGAAAAAACATTGAATGAAATGCAAGGCATATATAATTTCTCTTCCATTGGTTCCCATTTACATGGGTTGCTACAACAGTAACTCCCCATCTAGTATTTCCATCACATCACCACCATTGTGTGTGGAAGGAAGGGGAAGATGTTTCTGGGAATGTTTTCATCAACATCCATGACTTGCCTGGCTGCTTTTCCCTTTCCATTTTCCTTCCCTTCCCTTTGTACTTGCCTCTTCCTCTCTCCAGGAGTCCTCAGTAAAAGTGGGCAAGCCCCAGTTTCTCTCTCATAATGGCTATCTAGAACCTTTTTCTAAGAATGTGGGTTTCAGGGATCTCTTCTCTTCTCAGGCAGAGCCTGGGGTATGCACTAACATAAATCAATGGCTCTGGGAATGTCTCTTCTCTGGAACCACAGAACCCACTTTGGCTTCCTTCTTCCTAGGGGCCTTCACCGATGACAGCTGGGCTGTTTCTTGGATAACAGCATATCTAGGGAACTGGAGGCATAGCCTTCTCCATGGAGTGGCGCCTTTCTGAGCTCACAGCCCTCAGCCCCAGAGAGGTCTGTCTCCTGACTTGAAAGTGTAGGTAGAAATCACCTGGCCTCATCTCTCACACCCTCATGAGAGCTCTGCTTCTACTGAGACATGTCTTCTAGCTGGGTGAGCTTGCTGGAGTACCACCACTTCTGGATCTGTAGGCCAGGACTGTATGGCTACCTAGACTGTAGTTGTCTTGGCATGTATACAGGTGATTCAGTCTATCTTCCTGGGGGAATAGTACCTTTTAATCTTTGTACACAAGCCCAGGGGCCTCAGTGATGGACACATTTTAAAAATCCAAGTAAGTAACTCTTTAATTCATCATTCTCACCTCTGAAAGCAAGATTCTTGGAAAGCTGATACAATTTGAGTCAACAATTCAGACTCAGCCATCTCTTCAGAAAAGTTATTAAAAACACATCGAGGAACCCAGATTTCATTCTGTTTGAGAGCATTGAGAGAATATATAATAATACTATAGCTGGAAACTGAAGTAACATGGGCATGAGGTGGCATCCCCTTTTCTAGGAGACTTCTTTCTTCCTCCCATTTGGGAGTGAGATCACAAAACCCTTCAATGCTCTCACCAAACTAAATCTAAGTCCTTAAAGTGTCACCCAACCTCACAGTTCCTTATTATTATGGGCTATAAACACAGATTCAAAATGGGGAAAATCTGAATATTACTGTACTAATATTCTACATTGAATTAGAATCCTTCATGGTTAGAGATTAACGAAAGGGAGGCTATTCAGATACATGTGTCTAAGACAGCCACCCAAGTTCTACGGCAGATACCTGGTGTTTTCAGACCCAGAAAATAAATGCCCAGCTTGGGTCATGATAACACCTGGAATGGCTGAGAGGCTTTGGTTGCTGTTGTTTCTCTGTCCCCTCCTGGAAGGGGAAATGGAGTATGGTGAGTTGCTATGGTGACTTCTCTGCATCATGGGTCGGAGGTGGAGCTGGGGAAGGACCAGCTAACCAAGTCAGCTCACCATGGACTTCATGTCACTGCTTAGAAAGGCCAGAAGACCCTGGCACACTTGCAGCAGAAGGGAATGGGGTTCTGATAGAAATCCTGCCAGTTCCTTCTGAAGGACACACCATCCTTGAGCATGGAGCCAACTATCCTTCCTTACATACATCCTGGATTTCACTATCAAGAAAACTGAAGCCCAGTGTAGGGTCCTTGCTAAGCGTTTCTTAGAAAAATGGCCAAAGAAGAGTCAGGGCTCCAGACAGTGGTCAGGAGGCTTCCCAAGGCTGGGTGAGGCCATCCTTGTAGAGACCAAATGTGGAACAGGGAACAGGCGTGGGTGACGGAGCAATCCTTACATTTCATTTAGTCTTATTAATTAATTCATCCATTCATCATCCAACACTGAGCCCATCTTTATGATGCACATATTATTTTGAGCATTGTACCATCATGTGAGTTAGCAGGACCCATTTTGGTGAATGAAGGCTGAGAAGAGGAAGAGGAGGAAATAGAGAACTTGATGGGAAAGAAGGAAGAGAATTAGCTTGTTTTGAACATTTCTTGTGCCAGTGTGTTACATAGGTTGTCTCACTGAGTCTAAACCCATCCCTATAAGGTTGGCATTATAATGATTCCTATTTTGCAATGAGAAATACCAATGCTCAGAGAGGTTGAGTTCGGTGGATGCTGTTTGTGGCTCCAAAATTTTTTTCACCGAGGTGTGCTGTCCTCAGGGAATTTACCATCTAGATTAGCAGGAACACATTCTCATGTGTGTTGGCTGAAGCAAGAGTTGCTAGACTCTGCCCAAAACATAGACTTTTACTTAAAATAAAATTGTTTTACATGAGAAGTCATGAGCAGCAGGTAATTTAAGGCCAGTTAGTGCCAAATGTGCAGTTTAAACATAGGAAGCACTCACAGATGCCTCAGGGAGATGAAATGAGATTTGTGATGGTGCTTGATGAACAGATGGGATTAGGGCAGGGTGATGGCCATCTCTGGCCCATTCAGAGGACAGGTTATGGATCTGGTTGAGCCCAGTTGTTGGACTTAGAGGCTGGGCAGGCAGGTTGGGGCCAGAGAAAGAGGGTCCAGCTCCAAGGTCTCCAAACTTTATTCTACAGATGATGGGGACCTTGTGCAGGAAAAAGACACAAGTGGTGCTTTCCAAAAATGAATCAGAACACACTCTGCATCCTGTCTTCAGTCATCATCTTTTGCCAGGAGATAATTTGGTGTAAAACTAAAGGATTTACCTAGAGTTCTACAAGCTCTGAATCTGACTCAGGACTACAATCGATACCAAAAAGGGTTGGGTATTTAATGGAACATCAGAATTTTAAAATATTTTGAGTTCTTTATCTCCCATCATAACTGTCATGGAAATTTTCTCCATAAAGACCTTTATAAAAGGGCACTGATACCTCTCTCTGGTGATTATTTTAGCTAGAGACAGCTGGACAACTAGAGTCTGGGGATGTGGCACTACAATGAGCTCATTATTATGACAATTACGACTCAAAATATGGTGATGCTTTGCAACATCGCCTGAGGTTTCTTTTTCCTGAGCTTTGCAGACCCAATCCTTCATTTCCCTCCATTTAGAGAGCCGCTAGTGCTTTTTCTGCACACTACTTTGGGTTGGGGAGGGCAGATACACTTGAAAATACAGATTTTTAGCAGTAAGATATGGACTATTTGAGAGTGAAATTACATCCTTGAGTCTAAAAAGCTAAACTTTGAATATCTGGAACCAAGAATTGATAGGCCCCAAAACCTAGATTTGTAGTCAAAAGTCACAGAGTGAGGCAGAATGTGCAGTGATGTGGAACAGACCCTGTGGGCTGGGAGCAGAGAGAAATAGACAAGGAGAGCATGAGAGGGGCCCTGCAGGAGCAACAAGGTGGGTGCATTCCCTACCTGAGACTTTACCAGAAAGGTTGAGGGAGCTTGGGAACCAGATGACCTGTGTGCCCCAAGTTAGCACTGGACCGCTTTGGTAGTCAGGGGAGTTGAGGAGGGCAGTGGGGAGCCCTTGGCAGATAGGGCCTGGGAACCCAGAGAAGCATAGGAGAGCTTTGAGGGTCTCAGTGTCGCCCTGAGAGGGGCCCAGAGGTGGTCGAGAGGGTGTGGGCAGACCTGGAGGTCCTGTGGATGGAGACAGAGTGATCTGTGTGGACCTAATGACCTGCCAGCAAGGACTCCTTCAGTCACACTCAGGCTGGGCCCATGACCAGAGACCAACATGGAGTGAGTCTCAGTGGAGAAGGGAGTAGATGGCTCTTCCAATACTAGGATGATACAGAAGCCTTCCCATGTTTACTTACACTTCAGAGGAATGATATGGAGAATGAGAGAAGAACAATTCTGAATTATCTGATTATCTATCCAAAAGGGAGGAAAAAATTGCCAAGTGTCAGAGTTTACTCTAAATTAGTTAGATTAAGCTGTTTGCCATTGACGGAAATGGGTTTTCCAAAGAGCTAAGTTTAATTTTTAATTTTTGCATATAGAATGTAAGATTTATATTCTCTATATGCTCCTGAAGGTCCTTTCCAATTGGTCAGTTCTTTCATATTCCAGCTGGTCTGGCTTTTCTTCCTCCCGTCATTACTCTCTTTTCAAACACGCCGCTTCCCTGGGCTGAGCTTGGGCCGTCCTCTTTTTGAAAATACAAGCCGAGATATAAGGTTCTAGTGTGCCTATTATCCATTTAATAATTTATCTGGATGCCATGTGTTCCATTTATTTCAGTGTGTGCATCCAGTATGTGCCAGGCTCTGTGCTGGAGGGTGACTGAGCAACCAGTGTGTGCCAGGCTCTGTGCTGGAGGGTAAGGATTCGGGACAAAGGTTCCAGTGTATTGAGAAACATAAACACAGAGACTTTAAAGTCATTTTCTAATATTTTCAAGATTAAGAAGGGCAGGGAGCAGTCAAAGAAACAACAGAATAGGAGGTTAAAAACTCATGACTTGGCCACTTGGTAGCTGTAGAACCATAATGTCTTTGGGATTCAATCTGCTAATCTGTAAAATGAGGGAGGAAGGAAGACAAAGAAATCCTTTAGATCCTTTCCAGATGTTAAATTATATGACTCTTGTGAGTTTCAACAGTACAAAATTGTATAGTCAACTGAAACCCCAGGGGGCAAGAGAGGTGACAGGATATAGCAAATTCTTCTGTTCCATTGTAAGATCCTCAGAGCAGTGGCAAGGTTACACCTTAAGCAACTCATGCTGGGGTGCGTACATAATTGATCAGCTCCCTGAGTAGTGCTGGCAGTGCTCGGGACCTAGGGAAGGAGTTTCTAGATGTTGTGTATTGAAGGGCCCATTCTTGCAATTTATTATTATTGTTATTATTGTCATTGCTGTTATTATATTGGCAGGGGAGAATCTAGAATCTAAGCTTATGCTACTTGGCTTATTTGTCTTTGCCTATAATTACAAAGTTGAATGCCTATGTAAAGTGATTAAATGAATCTCTGAAATCATCTGAAATATTAATATATTTGCCTTATTTACATTTTCTAGCTACTGATCTCAATTTCCTACTCAGCTTTGTGTTTATAGTTTCCCGTGCCGCACCATTTTGACTCACTTTTTCATTCACTCTTTCAACATTTTACAAAAATTCATGGAGCCTCCATTTTGTCCCAGGCTTTGAGCCAAACACCAGGGATGTGGAGATAAAGGGGATGGCTTAGTGTTTAGCAGGAGGGAAAAATAACAGACGCTAAAGTCAAATAGGCTGTGGCACATGGATGACCCACCTGGGTAATGGGAAGCCTTGCTTGAGCTTGCCAGAGCTTTGCAGACAGAACACTGGGCTGCTCCTCATATCATATGGAATGAGATTGCCTGTGTGCCAGAACCAAGGGCTGGGATGGTGGTACAGTGGGAGGAATTCTACACCCCACAAAATAACTTGTCAAATGGTGGCTGTGTGACTTCCTTTCCAATTTTTTTCATCTCTGAAAAGCAACACTCAGTGATGAGAGACAGTGGCCCCTCATACGTCAGCGGAATTTCTGGTGATGTTGCAACAGGTAATATAATAACATGAGTATGCAAATAAAATTTTCAAAAATCCAAAGAATTTGAATTCTCTAGTAAAGTCTCCTGCCTTGGTTCTAGAAGTAGGGCTTCTTGTTGCAAAATCAAATTACCAGGTGGTGGGGAAATGGACAGACCAGTTTATATGTCTGATAGGGAATATACCAGGTAGGGAAATTTCACTTTCCTTAATACAAGCTCAGAACTTCCAGGTTGGGCACAAAAGGAGAACTTCATAGAGTGGGAAGTGGTAAGACCTCATAGCCTTTTTCTCCCTTTCTCTCTCTTTTCTTCCCTGTCTTCCTCCTCCTTTTTCTGAGACTTGGCATTTGTTTGGAGTATCCCATGGATCACTACTGCCATCATCCATCTGTTCTCAGGGGTGATATTTAAACCCTTTAAAACCCTGGCAAAAGCCTAGTCAAAACTCTGGGAGTACAACCAAGATAAGCTGGAACGTTCAATATGATTTTACTGAAGACTAGGAAAAGACAAGGGCAAAACAAATAAACAAACATACATCAAAAAACCGCCAGCACTCGCCATGAATTTAAGGCTCTGTGCTTTGCTGACCCCAGAAGAGAAAAGACTCTTCTCAAGACCCTGCTTTCCAGTGTCTTCCCATGCAGAGACTGCAATCTTAGCTCCAATGTAACTTCTTGACACTCACAGGAAAATGCTGGACCTTCTTATCTACCTAGAGCCTTGCTTTTGCCATGTGACTGGCACTAGGGAAGACCTCAGCCTTGGATAAGACCTCAATCTCTAATTAAAGACCTCAGCCTTGCCCCTGAGGTCCTCTTTAGGATCACCACATTCAAATGCCTCCTTGCTGGTTGTGTGTGTGTGCACACGTGCATATTTGTGTGTGTGTGTGTGTGTGTGTGTGTTGGTCTCCTAATGAGAAAATGACAGGCACTTGAAGGAAAAGGAGGAGAAATAGCAGAAGGGGAAAGGGAAGAGAGATCATCAGAGGATCTTTGCTTAGAGTAAGGATGAAAAGAGAAGAATATTCCATCTGTGTATGCCCTGGAGCTGGGCTCCAGTGTAGCCGATCCAACCATTTCAGCCACCTTGTCCATGGATATACAGCCTCAGGCCTGTGCCTGGAGCAAGAGCACAGCAGGCTTCACTGATGACGGAGCTGGACACATGGATCAGACAGGCAATTCCACGGCCCAGGTTTCTTCCCTTCACAAAAGGAAAGGAAGAAAGTCGAGAAGTGAGAATGAATTAATAGACAAGCAAAAAGACAAAGATATCCGGAGTGTGGAGAGGCACACAGAAGAGGCTGAGGCTGGGGAGATGCAGGGGAAGGCTGTCCATGAGCTGCCAAACAGTTGAGATGGAAAATGATCTGTCTGCATTTATTTATTTATGATCACACGGAATAAATAAATGATATGGTTCTGAGTCGAGCACCTGCTTTTGCATTACATACAGCCACAGATAAGGAACAGGAAGAATAGAATGGAGAAAAAGGCCACATCAGTGGAAGAATGGCAGGGGATGGACAAGAAGACAGCCCTCGTGCATTAGTTGACACACGTGCACAGTGGATCTCTTGGGGAGAGAGAGTGTGCAGGGAGCGAGCATGAGTTTGTGTCCGTGCACTAACAAGAAAGAAAGACATCGATCCTGTGATGGTAAGACAAGGAGGAAAACAGAGACCACTTCTTCCTGTCACTTTCTGCTTTCTCTTCTAATTCAAATCATGTAGTTCAAGAAATTTTGCACCCCACCTTCATACACTCATAAGCCCAAGTCCTCAGGACAGAGGCTTTGAGCTATTCACTTGTTCTCCTGGATCTCTGGGTAGTGGTGTGCAGAGGGCTTGTTCCCTGTCTAGTCCTCCCCGAGACAAACTGGCCCCCTCTAAGGGAGAGTTCTGTGGTTGGTCCCAGCCATGGCAGCTTATTCACACACGTGTGGTGTGTTTCTGAATCATAAATCTTACAGACAGCCTAGGATGGGAAGAAAACAGGCTGCCTTCCTGACCTTACACTTGGGCTGCCCGTCCCTGTAGCAAGGAGGAGATAATCAGGGCCCTTGTCCAGAGCCAATGTTTCCATTATATTTAAATTTCACAAACGATTGAAAGGATCAGCTCATAAAAGCAAAAGAGAGTTGAGGCATTCAACCTCTCTGGGCCTTTTAAGACCACAGACTTATTATGACCATGTGAGTTTCCAGGAAGAAGCTTCTAATTAAAGCTTATTGCCTCTTAGCTACCATTGGCTGGCCATGTGGCTGGCCCTTCCTGTTAATTAGAGCAGAAAGGCATCCTAGTGGGGTTGTAGCCTCACAGAGCCCGTGCCCACCTTCTGGCCCACTTCCCCTGTGAGCTCAGGAGGATCCAGGGCTGCCATGTTGGCCCATCATCCCCTAGACGTGAGACTTGGGATCCAGACAGGATATTGCACCTGTCTTGAAGGAAATGTTCTTGAAGGAAATGATAAGACTCTGAGCTACCAGTGATATAAATGATTAATGGGGGGAATTAGTTAATGTTTGTTAATCGTTTTGTAGATACGAAATGCTGGCTAAGAGCTAAAGGAAGAAGCAGAAGCAGCAAAAGCTGAAAGACTTTATATCCACCCAAATGCTGATCATAGAACTCCATAATGTTGGAGCTGAGGGAAGGAGGGATCTCCGAGACCATTTGCTCTATGGTTTGCAAATTGTGCATTGAGGGGCCTTCTGGGCCGCTGCCCAGCAACTGTCTGCCAATGTTTCCTCCCCAAACAAATCTCAACCAGAAGGGCAAAATAAAGTTCCACAAAAACCGTGCTCTCAGCATAACTTGAAGACAGAAAATGCCAGAACTTTAAAATAACCAGAATAAAAAGAGAACCATCATCAAATCCCAGCAGTACACTTTCTGGTACTCCTAGGCTATGCCCCTCGGCTAGCAAAAGGCTCCCTCACTCCCTGCACAAAGCCCTTCACTCTGGAAGACTTCAGCGTGAGCTTCCCACAGATCCTGGTGTGAGGAGCTCTGTCCAGGGGTCTGGGTAGGGAGGAAGTAAAATGTCTCCAGGATCTTCAGCTAAAGGTTCAGTCCTTGCTTACCTCTCCCCACCTCACCCTTCCCCACCCTACCCCACCAAACAAACAAAACAAATCAACAGATCAATTCTGTCCTTGGGGACATTTATGATACTTTAGGCCAATCACAGGAGACTTTTATATCTAATGTTTGGTGGGTTTGGTTCTGACTTGGTACGTCAGTTTAGAAACTGAGCACTTCTCTGCCTGATTTGGGAGATTGGACCCCCTGCTAGTCTCTGGTGTCACCTCAGGATCCTGCCCACTGTTGCACCTGCCAATGGCTTGCACTGAGAAGACACACTACTCCCTGGCTCTCCTCTCCAGCTGGTGATCCCAGGCCTGGCTGCACCTCCTCCTCATGTTCCTCTGTCCACCCTGGAGTGATGCCTTACTATTGTCCCCTCTGATGTGTCCCAAATGGCAAAGAAGAGTAAAGCCACCACTCAGAGTGTGGGTAATCACTATGAGCAGGGAAGGTCTTCGATGCTTTATCTTAACATTTGCGTGCAGTTTGCATTGGAACTCAATACATAGCCATGCTAGTTTAAATTAAAAAATATTCCTCCACTCCAATCTTTTGGTAAAACTGAAGCTCTTGAAAGATGAGCCACACTGATTCTTTGGGTTTGCATGCTTTGGGAGCATTGCTACACATCCTGCAGGTGCAAACATCTAAGTGTGAGTGCTGGCCCCACTTTACCCCAACCCACCTGTTGGTACCTCTCAACCTGTCCATAGCCAAATGCCTTTAGCCTCCTGTATGGAGAGGCTCTGGAAGTACTACAGTGAGCTGAATCTCAGACCTACAGGGTAAGGTGCTGAGAGCTGAGTCATCTAGTCCTTCTTCCAGGGGATGCCATTTCACTTCACCGATCCTGAGTTGTACTAGTTCACTGTTGGTCCAGTTTTTCTTGATGACTCATACCAATTGTTTGTATCAATTGTTAGTTAATGAAGAGCCGCCAAGGCCACTGGGCCAACAATACCATGATCTGCAATTTGGACACAGGGAATGGTAGAGCTAACCCAGTTTGATTTTCCACTAGGTTCCAGGCACTGTGTCAGGTGAGGCACACAGTATCCCATTTAATCCTCACATGGACCCAGGGATAGGTGTCACTGTCTTCATTTCGCACGTGAATTATCTGGTACCACAGGATGTAATGGACATGTAGCACCCAAATGACTCAGGATTCAAGTCCACGTTTTTCTTCTCCAAGTCCTATATCTTCTTTCCACTGTCCATGATGCTGTATCCCTTGCTTTTCTTTCTGTTGCATCTTTTTGGCCATTTCACTCCTTATGACCTCTAATGTTGGAGAATAAAACAGAGATAGAGGTGAGGTTGGAAAGTTTGAATCCTGCTGTCAGTTGTTTCAGGAAGACGGAGATGGTGTGGGACAGGTGGTGAACTGGAACCAATGTCTAAAGTGACATTTCTCTGATCACATCTGGAATTAATTTATCTGGGTCCACCCTGTTTGCTTCACAGCCACATTTTTTTTAAGGAACGATTCCAGAGAGCTCTTAGCGACCTAAAGAGAAAACATCTTCCCAAGCCCCTTCCCCATCACCAGCTGGAGCATCCGTCTCATTAATAACTGGAGCCTAATCCTTCACATTCAAAGGGAGTCCCATTACCCAAAACAATAATATTTTTAATTACCCAGGCAGAGTGGCAATTGCACATTGAATACTAAGGATGATGTAAAACTAATAAATACTTTTGGAAATTCATTGAACATTTTAATGAATTAAAAGTTATGAAATATTTATAAGCGGTAACAACACCATTTATTACCATTAATAAAATAAATACATTAGTTAGAGAATGAAATTCATTACTATTTTACTACCAGACATTGATGTCAATGACTGAGTATTGCTCCAAATTACTTGTAAAATAGACCAATTATTTTAGTGTGATTAATCTTTTCAATTATTTCCTTTATGTAGTTGTAATTTGAAAGTAATTTTCTTCTGGGAGTACAATGACCTCGGCACACTCATTCTTTATTTATTTATATTTAAAAACCTTTGTGTCTGCCCCCATTTCTGGGCAAGTTCCAATGATCGAATATTTAAAATAGTTGCCCAAGCAGGCATTGTTTCTAAGCACTTCATGGGGCATTTTAAAATTGGCTTTATTAATAATTATGGATAAGCCATTCCAAAGTAAGAACTTCTTTGCCAACAGTAGCTAGGCACTGGTAGAGAAAGGAAAGACCAGCGAATTTCCTTCCTGGTTCCACCTGCTTTGGCCTGACTGTTTTGGATTCCAGTCTTCCTCAAGGGAGGCAGTGTGACAGGCATTTGAAAAGACCTCTCTCCTGCCTCCAACTACCTCTACAGAATTAAGCAGGATTACTCCTTTGTGTGGCACAAAGGACTCTGTGCACCCAGTGACCAAGGTAAAAAAATGACTTTATCAGGCATAAGAGCATAGGTCTTAGGAGGCAAGAGAAGCAGCTGCCTTTGCAATCAGAAAGCAAGTCTGGGCTGTCAGAATCTCTGCTGGAAAAGAGGTAAATTTTCCCTTTGCATAATGGCTCAGGCAAGGCGCAGATGGAAAGGCAAAAGGCAGATGTGAACCTGTAAACATACCCCAGGATAGTTGTGCAGAATTATTCAGCTCTGGTTCCAGAATTAGGAGATTCAGCTTAGTCAAGGGATGCCAGAGAGAGGATGAGAATACGTATTGTGCCAAGCATTGTGCTAGGAGCTCTGCACGCAACATCTGTTTTAATTTCCCAAAAAACCTATAATTATGTATTTCCTGATGAGAAAATGAAAACTCATAGATTTAGGAAACTTTTCCAAGCTCAAAAAGGTGGTGAGCGATGGAGCTGGCATCCAAATACATTCAGTCTGATTCTAAAGCCTCTAATCTCTCTCCTACATTGGAATAAGCAAACCTTTATTGAGTGCTTGCCATGAAAAAAAAAAAAGCACTTCACTGCTAATTGAGATACAGAGATTTTAAAAAAAGACAGTCTTTGATTTTAGGAACTTAGCATCTATTGAGTGAGACACATAAATAACTGGAGAGAAGTAGACGGTTCTAAAATAGATATACATGGAAACAATTCTGAGTGGAGACTTAGAGAAAATACTATTTAAGCTGGGATTTGAAAGATGTGCAGGTCTTTGAAAGGTGGAGGGTGCGCTGCAGGGGGCGCAGATGGAACCAAAGCTTGAGCTGGGGAGGGACATTTGAGAAATGCAAGCAGATCTCAGTGGCTGATGAAATCATAATTTTCATGCTTATCTTTTAAATGGTTCAGTCCACGGTAAGTTAAGGGCAGGAGATTTTGGAAATAGGGAGTTTAGAAGGAGAGCGTTTTTAAAATGGAGTTGAACATCCACCTGGAGATAGGCACTAGAACTAAGTGAGGATACTAAGGTCGTGACTGCGATTTCTCCTTGGTGATCACTTCCAAGCAATAGAGCTCACCATTGCACGGCTGATTGAGTGCCCTGAAGTGACTGCTCCAGGTGGTGGCACCTCCCCAGGTTGGCAGTGTGTGGCTCTCATCACCCTCTTGGCATTAGGTCAATAATTAACATCACAAAGCTCTGCAGGAGGCCTCAGAGGAGCCAGTTTGTTTCTGTGAATGGTAATTTCTTCATGAGAAACAGCAGCAGCAAGGAAGCAGGTTAGTTCTCAAAAGCTTCAGGCGAGGTGAGGCCCAGAGAGGTTAAGTAGCTCATGGCATCATTTACAAGGCACCTCCACAGCCACCTTCTCACTGACCCTCAGCATGAGGTCAATTTTGAGACAACTACTGACATGTTGTTATCCCTATTTTATTTTATTTTTATTTTTATTTATTTATTTTTTTGAGACGGAGTCTCGCTGTCTCCCAGGCTGGAGTGCAGTGGCACCACCTCGGCTCACTGCAAGCTCTGCCTCCCAGGTTCATGCCATTCTCCTGCCTCAGCCCCCCAAGTAGCTGGGACTACAGGCGCCCACCACCATGCTTAGCTAATTCTTTGTATTTCAGTAGAGACAGGGTTTCACCATGTTGGCCAGGATGGTCTTGATCTCCTGACCTCGTGATCTGCCCGCCTCGGCCTCCCAAAGTGCTGGGATTACAGGTGTGAGCCACTGCGCCTGGCCTATCTCTATTTTAAATGACAAAAAAACCCCACAAAAACCCAATCTATGTTCCAGTTATGAGGGAAATCTTTAATGATTTGAAGTGTGATGGCTAGTCTATGGCAAGTAAGAGGTAGGAAGGAGACTTAAATCCAGGTTTTCTGATTCTGGTTCAGTGCTCATTCTGTGGTCTTTCTGAGAAAGGAATGTTGGAACTGCTTTGGAGGAAGACATTTCCAGGAATGGAACACCTATTCAGTACTGACAGAGGAGGAGCACTGCCATCTTGGACAAGCACCTCATCCTAAAGTTCATCTTAATCAAAAACCACCTAAATCCAAAGGACATCAGCCTAATGGCCAAGGTCAGCATGACCATAAACCACAAATAACATCTCTGACCAGAAACATTCCAAACTCCTCCCCAACCAGAGACATGCTAGCCCCGAGATAGTCTCCCTCTGGCCGGAAAGATGTCAGCCCCAAGATAACCTCTCCTCCGTCCAGAGAAATTCCAACCCCCCATAAACTTCTCCCCCACACAGAAACATTCCAAGCTTGTGATAAGCCTGCTCACTGTAAAACCAATATATACTCTTAGTCTGTAAGAGAAAGCTCTCCTGACCAAAATTGGCCAGAAGCCCCTCTCAGGTTTATTTTCTCTAAAATAAATCTGTTTTTAACCATTGAGCCGCATTTTGTGTTTCTTTCCTCTTTCTTTAACTCTTACAAACTCTTCGTAAGATTTGCACTTACTTTGCACAAACCCTTACAACCCTTAGGGTTAGGGTTAGGGTGCAAATTAAATATAACTCAAAGATGCCCTTTAAGAAAGAGTTCTATGTGAAGTAGAATGGAAATGTTAAAGGAACCACACCAAAATTCAGTCCTAAGACAGAAACAACTATTTTATATTAATGTTAGCATGTACCCAGTTTAGTACTTGCTCAGAAACTGTCTGTGGCATAGATGAGTGGATGCATGGATGGATGGATAGCTGAGCCTGCTACATACAGAGTTTGCTGCTGGCAGCCCCAAGACAGAGTGCCACTGTGATCTACATTTTACAAGCACAGACTGAGGATCCTGCTGAGGCGTTGCTTGCTGTTGGAAGAGAAAATGCCCAGTTTGGGCCAGGCTGCTAGGAGCCCATGAAGTAATCCCTCATTTACCCAGCTGGATTTTGGAGCCTACTCTAGATGTTGATTGGTTCCACATGGCTGGCCAAAGATTTGAATCTATTTGTTCAGCTTCTTTCGTTTCCTCTTGTCCCCTTTCAGGCTAAGAAAGACATCTTCCATTGCCCAACATTGTCTTTGGTGGAGAAGAAGGAGAGAGAGGGGGACAAGGTTACAGGATGCTACCCATTTTTTCCTGGAAATATTTATACTAGCTACATATCCAGCACCTCAAAGCCAGAACCCACCTGGACAAGAACTTGCCTTGTGAAAATGGCCCATATTCAAAGTCTAATAGCCTTGTGCTAAGCCCTAATTTTTTAAATAAGATACAGTTAATATACCTATTTTTGGTTTTCATATTTTAAATAAGTGTAACATCTAGGACCAGACCATAAAAACTGGAGTTAATAGGAGAGCTGAGGCCGGGCGTGGTGGCTCACACCTGTAATCCCAGCACTTGGGAAGCCAGGGTGGGCGGATCACGAGGTCAGGAGTTCGAGACCAGCCTGACCAACATGGTGAAACCCCGTCTCTACTGAAAATACAAAAATTAGCCAGGCGTGGTGGCTTGCGCCTGTAATCCCAGCTACTCAGGAGCCTGAGGCAGGAGAATTCCTTGAACCCAGGAGGTGGAGGTTGCAGTGAGCTGAGATGGCGCCACTGTACTCCAGCCTGGGCAACAGAGTGAGACTACATCTCAAAAAAAAAAAAAAAAAAGAGAGAGCTTAGAATCAGACTGTCCAATGGTTCTTAAAATGTATTTCATGAAGCCCCATTGAGGGGGAATGTCAAGGGCTCTGGAACAGGTGGGTTCTAGGCGCCCCCAAAGACAGCTGTACTTGTATCATTTTATATACTGGGCTTCCATATAAGACTTTGTTTTAATTAAGGCTTCAGGCTCTAGAAAAGGTTTGAAGAGAGTTCAAACACCCTCATTTTAGCCCCGGAGAAGTTAAAAAATGGTATTTGTGCATCTCAGACTCTTTGGGGACATGTGTTTCAAGGTATCCATAATAATGGGACTGCATTTGACTTTGGATACCTTCACCTTCCTGAGCCAGAGAAGTTAGAGAAATAACTTCTCACGGGTAAGGTGAAGGTTATGACATCCTCTCTAATGAATGAATCAGAAGCAATGTGTATGAAATTATCTCAGTAGAGTAAGGAACCAAGAAGATTACTTCTTTTGAGAAATCTGTTAGTGAGCTGAATGTGGCTGTGGCCTGGGAAACCTCAGATGTGTTTTTGTAGGTTCCTGAAAGAGAAGAGGAGATATAGTGGCCTGCTATAAAATGTATGTAGGCTCACACAGGAGCTATCTACATTTCCTTGTTTTTCATGGGGGAGCTCCTTTGCAGCTCTTTGTCTTCATATTGACTAGTGGCAGTGGTCCATTTCAACTGCCTCTGAACAATCTGAGCTGGGAAAGGGAAATACTGAATTGATTTCTTAGAAAAATTGAGAACTTGACAACCATAAGGTGGAGGCAGAAAGCACCTTGGGCTGGTCAGTAATTTAGTGTATCACATTTCAAGGAAAATCATTGGGTCTTTGTTCATTCAATTTCTACATGGCAAGGGAGACAGATTAGATATTTCTGGTGTCCCTTCCAGCAGAGATCTTCTGTGCAAACTGCAAGGTGTGGTAGCTAAGAACATGGATTTTGGAGCCAGATGGCCTCCATTTCAATACCAGCTGTGTGACTTTGAGGAAATTACTTAGGTCTCCGTGCCTTGATTTCTCTATCCATAATAATGGGAATAATAATGATAAGAATAATATTACATACTTCATAGCATTGTTGTAAGGATTGAATGAGTTAATATATGTACCATGCTTAGAACAGGGCCTAGTGCATGGAAGAGCTAGATGAGGGTTTGCAATGCTGTGCATTTTTAGGAGCTGTTCAGGGCCATGCTGATCCTCCCCTCCCCTCCCCTCCCTCCCTCTCTTTCTTTTTGACAGAGTCTTGCTCTGTCACCCAGGCTGGAGTGCAGTGGTGCCATCTCAGCTCACTGCAACCTCTGCCTCCCGGGTTCAAGCTTCTGCCTCAGCCTCCCGAGTAGCTGAGACCACAGGTGCATGCCACCATGCCTGGCTACTTTTTTTGTATTTTCAGTAAAGATGGGGTTTCGCGACGTTGGCCAGGCTGGTCTCGAACTCCTGACCTCAGGTGATCCACCCACCTTGGCCTCCCAAAGTGCTGGAATTACAGGCATGAGCCACCACGCCTGGCACACTGGTCCTTTTCAAATCCCTTTCAAGAAGCTAGTCTTTCCCATTCTGACGTATGTGTTGCTGTAGGCACCTCTGAACCTGAGGGGTCCCGGTGAGTGTCCTGCGTGATCCTATTGCTCTGGGTTGTCTGCTCAAGAAAGGTTTTTGTGAATGGGCTAAGGGTTCCCTGGGAGCCCAGGCATGGGTGTCTCTGGGGGCTGATGTCTCTCTTGCCTGTGCTGATTGTGTAAGCTGCTCTTTCACTGGCCTTTCAGTGAAAAATCTCTTCCAAGCCATTTCTACTTACAGCTACTTTCTTTTGGAAGTAGTAGGGTAATAGCCCAAAGCTATAAAAGAAGGTGCAGCATTTATCAATTGATTGATTAACCAATCAGTCAACATGTATTCGTGTGGTGTTTTCTGTGTGTTTAGCACCATGCTAGCTGCTCCCTGGAGAAATAAAAGAAATGTAAGACAAGGTCTTGAACTTCAAGTTAGGATCCCAAAATGATTAAATTGGAAACAATTATAAAACACCTACTAAATTTAGATGTAGAGTATAAAGTCTTCCAAGGAGAATTTCTGTGGCTGCAAATGACATTTCCTGGCCCCAGGAAATGAGTAAGGTGGTCCAGTATAGGCCCCTTTTTCTATTATTTTCTGATGTGGGAGGCAATAAGAAATGACCTATGTCACATGAAAGCGCCACAAAAGAAGGAGTAATATTGAGGAGATTTATCTGGCAACGTGTGGAAGATGGAATGGTATCAGGGAGACCAGTTGGCTGCTGCCAAAATTCAAGTCTGCGTATATGAAGAATATAGAAAGAATAAGACACACAGCTGGGAATATGAAGTCAGAAGGGTATATCCAAGAGACAGCAACAGTAGTATTGTGTTAGTCCATTCTCACACTGCTGTAAAGAAATACCTGAGACTGGGTAATTTATAAAGAAAAGAGGATTAATTGGCTCATGGTTCCACAGGCTGTACAGGAAGCATGGCTGGGGAGGCCTTAGGAAACTTGCAATCATGGTAGAAGGCAAAAGGGAAGCAGGCACATCCTACACGGCTAAAGCAGGAGGAAAAGAGCAATGAGGAAGGTGCTGCACACTTTTTTTTTTTTTTTTTTTAAGACAGAGTCTCACTCTGTCACCAGGCTGGAGTGCACTGGCACGATCTCAGCTTACTGTAACCTCTGCCTCCTGGGTTCAAGTGATTCTCCTGCCTCAGCCTCCCGGGGAGCTGGGACTACAGCCGCCCACAACCATGCCCAGCTAATTTTTGTATTTTTAGTAGAGACGGGGTTTCACCATGTTGGCCAGGATGGTCTTGATCTCTTGACCTCGTGATCCACCTGCCTCAGCCTCCCAAAGTGCTGGGATTACAGGCATGAGCCACCTTGCCTGGCTGCTGCACACTTTTGTTTTTGTTTTTGTCTTTTGAGACGGAGTTTCACTCTTGTTGCCCAGGCTGGAGTGCAATGGTGCCATCTTGGCTCACCGCAACCTCCGCCTCCCAGGTTCAAGCGATTCTCCTGCCTCAGCCTCCTGAGTAGTTGGGATTACAGGCATGTGCCACCACGCCTGGCTAATTTTTGTTTGTTTGTTTTTTGTTTTTTTAGTAGAGACGGGGTTTCTCCATGTTGGTCAGGCTGGTCTCGAACTCCCGACCTCAGGTAATCCGCCCACCTCAGCCTCACAAAGTGTTGGGATTATAGGCATTAGCCACCGTGCCTGGCCCACTGCACACTTTTAAACATCCAGATCTTATGAGAACTCACTCACTATCACGAGAATAGCAAGAGGGAGATCCTCCTCCATGATCCAATTACCCACCAGCCCCCTCCTCCAACACTGAGGATTATAATTCAACATGAAATTTGGTGGGAAGGGGAAGACACAAATCCAAACCATATCAAGTATCTAGACAGAGACAGATAGAATACAGGCAAAAGCAAGTCTAGAGGTAAAGGTTCTGGCAATTTGGGTGTAGTGGTAAAAGGAACAGGAAGAGTCAAAGATGATGCTAAGGTTTTCAGGAAATAAATGAAACCTCAGCCTCTTCCACAAAGGCAGCAGAGGCTAGTGGACAGAAACACTGGCTTTGTCATCAGATCAACTTGGGATCGAGTTTGACTCTACTTTTCACTAACTGAATGACCCTGGCAAGTTTTGAAACTTCTGTGAGCTTCAGTTTCCCCATCTGTAAAATGAGGATATTAGTCCCTGCTTTACAGCATTATCGTAAAGCTTGCATGATGTAACACATAAAGGCATTGACACTTGGCTTTGCGCATGGCGAGTGCTCTGTCAATGTTAGCTTTTTGCTATTAGTCCATATCAACTGAGATGAACTGAGCACCTACCTAGTGTCACACACTGTGATAAGTGTAAGGATGTAGAGAGGATACAGGCATGGCCTCTGTCTTGATGACACCCACAGATAGATATTGTCTCCAATGCGGGGAGAATTGTCCCATGTCTCCTTGAGCCTTCTCCAGATGAACTAAAATGGCACGTCTCTGCTGTGGGCCAAGGAAGAGCTGTGGAGTTCTACAGTTGTGTTTCCCCTTGTGCTCCATCTGTGCCTCATCATGAAGGGACCAAGTTCTTATCAGAAATATAGACCAGGCATCCTGCAGACCT
Source organism: Homo sapiens (assembly GCF_000001405.40). NCBI lineage: Eukaryota > Metazoa > Chordata > Mammalia > Primates > Hominidae > Homo > Homo sapiens. The sequence continues at coordinate 29,381,640 of NC_000002.12, forward strand.
TCCTACAGTCCTGGCCAGTAATGTTGCCAGCCCTATTCACCTCCTTCAAAGACACCATTTTTCTCCTTTTATCCCCTCTTCTTCTGGCTTAACCAAAGCAATGACCCCAGAAAACATAGACATTTGCCTACATCGAATAGACATTGAGTATGCCTTTAAAGTAACCCCTTCCCTTTAAATATGAGTGTAATTTTAGGATGATTCTTATGTCTGCAATTTGTCTATGCCTACTGATGCGCACCTGAATTTGTCTTCTATGGGAAGGAAATTTAGAAGTTCTAAGCAAACACTGAGATCACCTTGTTCTTCACTATTCTCTGCCTTACACATCCGTATCAATCAATCCCTCCCCATCCCTTGTTGACCACAGGCGGTCTGACCCAGAGAAGAATCACAGAGAACATTTGCCTCCTCATGGAGACCATCTGTTCTTGGAGCTAGAGCCACTGAAAGAAGGAAGCTGGACCATGAGAACTTCCCCAGGTATCTGGGCCAAGCCACTTTCTCTAGGGAATCAGAGGAAGACTCATCTTCTCCCTCCTCTAAGAGGGTGCCCTGCCAGCGGAGACTTTCTGAGATTAGAAAGATTAGAAAAAATTAGAGAGATTTTAGGGAGGTCAACTCTATTGGTTTTGTAAAGATAGAAAAGCAGACAGGAACGGGTCTCTGGAACAGACTCACTGCGAATGCAACACAGGCTATGGGGGATGAATGTTTTTAGGTGAGAGGGAGTTGCAGGGCAAGGGAGAAAACATCTATAGCTTGAGATCCTTGATTTTAACATGCAAAGAATTTTTTTCAGGTCAAGAAATTTTTGCAGGAGTATTTGTTGTGGGCCTGATATCTGGACTTTTGCAGTTTCTTATTCCTTTTTCCTAATGATGATCAAATGAGAACATTCTGGGAATTGATACTTTCTCCCTGCCACATTCTTGTTAACTGGTTCCATTTCAACAGATGGCCTCTTTTGTATGGTACATAGATCCTTGACATCTGTGAGGACTGATGATGTCCAGAGACATTCACAAATCTTCAAGTTCATGAGTGCGGAAACATTTGTACAAGCTCCTGGCTTGCTCCCAAGCCACATGTTTCTTATACATTGCCTCATATCATAGGTTAACCACCTTTTCAACTTGAACTGTGGTTCAATCTATCACATTATGGTGATTTTTCTTTTCCCCACACATAAACCAGTTTTGATTAAACAACGAAAACAAAATACACTATAAAATTTCCTGCAAAGCCAGCAATAAATGAAGAGCCACAGGGGCAAAAGAAGCTGGGTTGGTGAGGGGTCAGTAGGGCTTCCTCCCTAAGAGAATCCCTTTCACACACCACTTCCCAGAGGCACAAAGTTCAAATCCAGGCCTGTACATGGAACAGATGACTGTGGGACATGGGCCTTCAAAGTTATTCAGGAATAGCCTAAATTGAGAATTTAGGTCTGGGAGTGCCTCAGGCTTCCTCTGGGTCCACGCTTCATTCTTGGGCCCCTGATCCTCTCCCTCCTCCCACCCTTCCCTCTCCACCCTCCGTTAGGCCCCAATGTCTGCTGTTCCCTTCTATGTGCCTATGTGTTCTCAAGGTAGATATCATTTTATACCAGCTCTTTGAAATTGATTATCTGGGATATGGATCACCTGGTATCATTCAGAACTAGCCCCTAAAACACTCTAGACTTTTTTTTTTTTTGAGACTGGGTTTCGCTCTGTTGCCCAGGCTGGAGTGCAACGGCACAATCTTGGCTCGCTGTGACCTCTGTCTCCCAGGTTCAAGCAATTCTCCTGCCTCAGACTCCCAAGTAGTTGGGATTACAGACGCACATCACCACACCAGGCTAATTTTTGTAATTTTAGTAGAGACAGGGTTTTGCCATGTTGGCCAGGCTGGTCTTGAACTCTTGACCTCAAGTGATCCACCCGTCTCGGCCTCCCAAAGTGCTGGGATTACAGGTGTGAGCCACAGCACCCAGCCCACTCTAGACTTTTCTTCATAAGTGTGCACATTCCCAGCCAAACATGGTTGCAGGTTATTGACACATCTAACACAATAGGCTACCAAGGAGCGTGGGAAAGCCAGATTCAGATACCTTCACTGCAGTTCTTCAGGGCAAAGAAGTCCACTGCAGACAAGCTGCGGTTTCCACTGGAGATGTATTCCAGGGCCACTCGAAATGGGTTGTCTGGACGCCCGATTCTTCCCTGGAGCACTGTCCAACTGGTTGCATTGGAAAACAGAGGAGAAAAGCATAGAGAAACAGATATGAGAATTAGGCCTAACATGTGGACAGGGTCATGTCCTTGCAGGGACTTCAGGACTCACATTCTTCATGGGCACCAAGAGATGGGACTCGAAGTGGCACTGAGGACAGTGATTCTGACAGCAACATGCAAATACTTATTTCCTTTTAGTCCAACAAACTTAGAGATCCAATTCACGAACCCAGTCTCACCACTGGCATTCCTTTTGTCATATTCTGTTTAAGGCAAATGCAGCTCTTTGGACTATTTGAGTAGCTAGTATCACAAGAAAGAATATATATAGTTGAGAAAACCTGCCAGTAAGTAGACTCAAGGAAATGTCTTCAAAACATGTATCACTCTATTCAAAATTATCTCTAGAAAGAATGATTGGTTTTCAGAATTTTATCTGATAGAAAGTCTCGGAACCCTCAGGTTTGCTCTACAGTTACTTAAGACGGAAGCTAGTAAGAACTATTTATTTACTGCAGGAAAATTAAAGTGCACCGAAGCATGTATTTTGGGGTAAAAGGTACCTAAGACTGACGTGGACTTTGCAAAAAGTGCCAACAGAAAAAGATGGAAGCAGGTGAAATGGCGAGCTCGGCACCCACCTATAATCAAGGATACTGACACTGTCAGAGAATAGAGAATAAATTAAATGAACACTTTTACACCTTGCTCATGCTATTAACCTCTTGAAATAGCCTCCTGTCACTGATTGGACCATCGAATTTACTTTCCAGCATTGATTCATAAATGTCTGCGAGTGTGTGTGTGTGTGTGGATTTATTTACTTACTTATTTTGAGTGGTTTGTGTGTAAAATAAAAATTACCTAGATTATTTGATATTTTCTTTCCTTAAAAACAATTTTATTGAGGTATAATTGATGTATAATAAATTACATGTACAAAAAGTGTCACTTTGGGAGGCCAAGGTGGGCGGATCATGAGGTCAAGAGATTGAAACCATCCTGCCCAACATGGTGAAACCCTGTCTCTACTAAAAATACAAAAAATAGCTGGGTATGGTGGTGCACACCTGAGGTCCCAGCTACTAGGGAGGCTGAGGCAGGAGAATCACTTGAACCAGGGAGGTGGAGGTTGCAGTGAGCAGAGATCGCCACTGCATTCCAGCCTGGCGATACAGACTCTTGTCTCAAAAAAAAAAGTGTATGATTTGATGGTGGGTTTTGGCTTATTTATACATCTATGAAATCATCACAATATTTCACATTTTTTTTTTTTTTACCAGTAGGTTGGGCTTTGGTATGGCAGTACAAGTGGTAAAGGATTAAGGGAAAAACTAGCTTTCCATTAAATAAATTTTTTTAAATATTTCCACCCCCTAAATATAAAGTGATGCTCACTGTAAAAAATAAAAAGCATTGAAAATCCAACTATTCAGAAAGGCTGATAATGGAAAGTAAAAGTCACCTAGAATACCATTGTCCAGCAATAACCATAGTCACCACCTAAGGAAACAACCTGTCAGGTTGTTTTTTTTTTTTTTTTTCTGTCTTGAGACAGGGTCTTGCTGTATGGTCCAGACTGGAGTGCAGTGGTGTGATCACAGCTCATTGCAGGCTTAACCTCCCCAGGTTTAGGTGATCCTCCTACCTCAGCCTCCTGAGTAGCTGGGACTACAGCTGTGAGCCACCACACCTGGATAATTTTTGCATTTTTTTGCAGAGACAGGGTCTCACTGTCTTACCCAGGCTGGTCTCCAATTCCTGGATTCAAGCCATCCACCTGCCTCAGCCTCCCAAAGTGCTGAGATTGCAGGTGTGAGCCACTGCATCAAGCCCAACCTGTCCATTTTAATCCATTTTAATTTTTCATGAATGAGACCATAGTACATATACTCTGTGGTTGCACTTTCTCACTTGATGGTATGTCACAAGACAATATAGATTACAGTATCATTTTAATGATTGCATTTTTAATGACCTGTGCATTGCTTCTGATTTTTTCTTGATCATGATTATGCCAAAGCTAACTCTGTGTACTTATCTAAATACGGCCTAAGGACAAATTCTTAGAATCAGAGTCAAAATGTGTGCACATTTAGGCATATCGTCAATCCTGCCACAGTAAATCGGGGGCCCATTTCTGCATGCGCTTGCTAACACTAATTCCCACCAAATCTTTTCTGCCTTTGCTAACTTTTGGTGATGAAGGCATCGCCTAAGACCATCCACCATCTCTTTCAGCGCGGTGCTCCTGGATGGTAGCTTTATGTCTCTGGTCTCTGGCATGCGGTGGGTGTCTGCTGAATGAAGGAGGTAGTCTTCTTCCCTATCTTTTCTCTCTGTAGTTAATTCAGGTCACTGAAGCTAATTCTTCAGCCATTTAATAAAAGTGTATTGAGTTTCCCCACAATAGATGCTGTAGAAGGGATTATTGCTGCTGTAAAGTTTGTTCTCTGTTACCGTACCCAGCAGGATTTCCATCCACAATAAAACTGGTGCAATTGAAGGAAAAGGAGGGCTTTCGGTTTAAATGAGGGACTGTCAAAGATAGCAATATTTGAGAAGAACATGTAAACAAGTGGTTCTTAAGGAGATAAACAAAAAGACAAAAAGAGCCGAATTTGTCTTGTTCTTCTGAAAAATAAAGGACCTATTTTTGAGGAAAGATAGTGGTGAAAGGCAGGAGTATTCATATTCTGCCAAAATCATAGCTCTCTGCTCTGAGAAATGATGGATTTTAATTCCAGGTACACAGCGGCCCTTGACAATGATTTCCATTTCTATATTGGCACTAGCCCTCTGGATAAATGTGTCAAGAGTTTTAGGAATTAGTTTCTGAGTTACCGATGCAATAACTTTTGTCTGAAATTCTCTGGCCTCCCATAGTTTACTGCTGCAACTTTAATAACTTTCAGAGCAGTTGCCAAACATGTATTTTATATCCAGGGAAGTTGGGACTAGAAAAGGGCAAGCTTATATCTAGGGTCAGATTTGTTTAAGAGAACGCCAAAAACCCAGTGAAAAACAAATCTAAACTCTCTTCTTGGTCTGCCTCCATTTTCTTTGCTTACACCCAAGTGGTCACAGAATGAGCCTATTAGGGTCCTGCTTTTGTCCCTTCGGCTGGTGGCAATTCTACTTAGGCTTGCAGAAGGGAAGGTTATGTTCTGACCTAGAGCCTCCTGGAGACAAACGTACAGCTGGTTCCATGTGTTGGGGATTTGTGACTGTCTTATCACTGGTGCTTCCATCAATCAATGTGACAGTGTGGGGTGTCCATCTGGACTTTAGGAAGTCAGGGGACTGTATGGACAGCTTGTCACAATCCATTATCTTCCCTGTGTCTCTCTGGAGCTCTCCGGTTCCAGTTCTGGCTCTGCCCCTCATTTGCCTGATGACTTTGAATAAGGCACTTCTCTCCAAAAATGCCTGAAATGTTGGATGTTTTCTGATCAATTGTATTCTGCCTCCAACTTTGCATGAATTTTTTGAGAAAAACACGGACCAGCCATTTTTGCAGAGTGCCTATATTATAATGAGTATGTTAGAGTCCATCAAAAAAGGCAGGAGGGTTGGCTTGTGAATATCAAGGTCCATTTCTGACCTACAGGCTAGAAGAGATATGTAGAAAAGCCACTGAATTGGGAGCTGAGTCCTGGATTCCGGTCGTGGATTTGCGTGGGCTTGGGCAAGTCCCTGCACCTCTTTGGGTTTTAGTTTCCTCATTAGCAAAATGCAGGCATTGAATTAAAAGTTCCCTAAGGGCCCTTATTGATCTGATATCTATACTTCCCTAGCTGATTGCAGGAGTCCTAGTAACAAAACATTTTATGAAAGCCCTGAAATCTCCAATGGACAAATAATATCCCACAGAGGTGGGAGGAGAATGATTAATCACAGAATCGCAGATTTATTTCTGCAAAAAGACTCAGTTTCACCCTCCTTGGAGAAGTGAAGTCTTGCTCAAGGTCACACATTGAGTTACCTGCAGACTTAGGATTAAAATAAAGCATATTATTGCTCCAAGACTGCAAGCACAAGAGGCAATGCAACCTATGGATCAGTCTATACAGTCAATTGCATTTCATTTCCCTAAAATCTCAGAGACAGAGAAGAATATGTCTACTTAGCATTGCTGGAGGCATCATCAATTTGGGTTATCAGGATAGACACACTGGCCAGATAGTGAAATACTTTGTCAGAAAAATCTACAAAAAAATCACAAGAAGCTCTGACATGGAAACAAAAAGAATTTCTAAGCCTCCCACAGCTCCCTACCAGCTTAGCTCTATATGTTTAAAGAAAACTGTCTGGCACATCTGATACAAGGCAAGCCGCTGATGAGTTTGAAAGGTTGGCAGCTGTGACTCAGGAGGGCAAAGGCACCAAGTTATTTTAAGCCCAGAATGAAGGGACACTTTATGACAACACGTGAGGACCATGAGTGGCAGTTGACAAGACAGGGAACATCATACTTTGCTTCTGTGCAATATCCCAGTGGGCATCATGTTGACATAGGGCTGGCTTCCTTAAGTGTGCCCTCAAACCCACCCTACATACTTTTCAAAGGAATGCCTTTCTGAGATGGTTTTAGCTGCTGCAGTGTAGCAAGGCAAGGCCTAGATTCAGCTCTCAGCTCCACCATCCACCACCCTAAGCTACGACCTTAGGCAAATGATTTAATTCCTCTGAGCTCCAGTTTCCCTATTTTTAAGATGGAGGTCATAATGCCTAACTTGCTGGATTGTTGTAAGGATTTTTGAGAAGGATGCATGCAGAGTAATAATTCTTAGCACACGGTAGGAGCTCCATAAGCGGAGCTATTCCTATGGAAACCACTGCTTTCTTCATGGAATGACACTGGTCCTTGCAAATATCTGCATCTCAATTCATTTATGAGCGTCAAAGGAGAAAGGAATATAGTAAAAGAGGGTGAGAAAGGTATTGCAATTTATGAGTAGCAGCCATCACGTTTGTTTAAATAAAGAAAAACTTGGTTAAATGCATCTTTATACGTTAAATACAACCCCAAGAAATTATGTTAGAACATCCCTACAAGATGTATTAGGATTTGACTATGATAGCAGATCACCACTCCTCTCAGAATCCTCCAAAGGCCTCCATCTCACTTAGAGTAAAAGCTTCTTCTTTACCTTTGCATCTTCCTGTAGGACATGAAAAGATGCTTGGTGTCTAGTTCTTGGTTAGCATTTGTTGAGTCGCATTCCATTTCTCAGATATTTACTGGTGCATTGTTGCACACTAGCTAAAGTATTGGATGCTCTAGGGATGCGAAGTGTTTAGGATGTAGCCTTGTTCTCAAGGAGCTTACAGACTGGTGAGAAAGAATAAACATAGGTACCAAGATTTTTAGTGAATGGTAGCATACGAGAGGTGAGTGAGAGGTGTAGGCACCATATGCTATTAAAGCCGAGGCCAAAGTGATGTCTCCAAATGGATGGTCAGGATAGGAGTATCTTGAGGACGGGTTGTGAAGAGGGGTCAGGAATTAGGAAAAGGGCAATGCAGAAATGCAGAAAGAGAGACTGGCATGAGCACATGAGCAGAGGCCACATAGACAGTGTGTGTTTGGAGAACAGGTGGTCCAATCTTGCAGGTGCCAATGTTTTTCATTGGCCTCTACAGGAAGGATGACTTCTGTGTCTTGCCTTCCCACCTCCTTAATGCCAGAATGGTGGATCATTCATCACATGTCTCCAATGCCTTATACATCGTAGACACTCAAAAAATATTTGTTGACTGAGAGGACAAATGAACATATTTCTGTTAAATCAGACGAGTTTCTGACACTCTTGGTCAAAATTTATATTGCAGTGGAGCTGAGTTAATCCAAACGTTCGTGTCAATTCATGAACACTAGCTGTCATCTATTCACATGATAATGACGCCTTCCCTGTTAGGAGAAATGCAAAGACTGGGGAACTTTGGCGGTTGCATTATTACTACATAGCTCATCACATAACTCTTGGCCTCCATTTGCCAAGAGCGAATCAGAAGGAACCGGAGAATTATGTAATTGAGACCTGGAGGATACCTGAGTTCTCAACTATGACAGTTACCATCTGTTGCATAAATGTTCTCTCCAATGCAGGTCAGGCTTGGACCAAGTCAATATGAATACTACCTACAGCAGCATTAATAATATGACCAACAAGAGTTAAAACTTATTAAAGGTCTACTATATGCGCTGCTTATAACTGAGTTTAAAATGCAGGTTGGCATGCCTCTATAATCTTTAGAACACCATTTTATTCTGCCATTTAAGCTCCCTGAGGTTAGAAACTGTTTTTCCGAGGCTTTATTCCTATTTCTGGCTCTGATGAACATGGCTGGGGACCTGAAGCTACAAGATGTGGCTATCCTCATGTCCTGTGCTGGTCATGAGCGCCAAGTCATTCGGATGGTGACTGAGCTCCTAGCTGGGATGCCCAAACTCACGGGTGAGATCGACAATGACAAAAGCCACATAAACTAGATAACCAGCCAAGTCCCTGTCACATAGAACACAGTCACGTGGTGATGATTATTATCAAGCATAACACTGTCAGGACTCAAGCCACACTGCTGGCATTCCTCCACATGTGTCTTTGCTAAGAATCTCTCTTGACAAGTGTCTGGACGAGGTGTGAAGGTGTAAAGATTTGTTAGAAACAAAGAACTGAGCCTGTGGGAGTTTGTCTGGATCAATACAGAAAGAAAGAGAAAAAAAAAAAACATTTGAACCTCTCTCTCTAATCTTATCCTACAGGGAAAAAAAACACACAACTTTCAAATTTTCCTTAAAATATACTTTGTAGTAATTCTGTAGCAAATATAAACCATTCAGCACAATTTTTTACTGTTTCCATTAAATCAGCCTGCATTTAAAGCATTTTTATGGGAGATAGCAGGGGAAAAATGCTAGATCAATGTAAATTTTAGTGTGAGGTCCTTTGTTGCTTATTAATTTTCTGTAATAATAATTACACATGGCGTGTGGCATGGAGTCTTTTATCCAAGTAGCCTTGGCTTTATTATTCACTTGCCCTTCATACTTTCCCACAAGTTAGATGAATGTGCTCTGAAGAGGATCAGCTGTGAAAGGAAGAGGTTTCAGGTCGAAAGGGGATCTGGCTTCCAATGGCCCAGCGTGGAGAAGAGCTGCTCTGAGGCTAAGGGGGCTCCAGGCTCTGTAGGGGGGGCCAAGGCAGGGCTGGGTTCCCTGGGGCTGCAGGCCTGCTTGTTGAGACCTTAGCATTGTCAGCTGTAAAGCAGTTTTCATTTCATCAGAGATGTTATGTGGGTGACGGGGATCTGGAAGGTAGGCTGGCCTTCCTGGGGTAGAGGCATAGAAGATGTTCCAAACTGCATTTCCTTAATTATTTTCTCATGTTTCGGAACAAAGACAACATAAATGGTCCTGAGCTCCTTTTCCTAGCCTCTTTTTTTTGGGGGGGGGGTGGTGGTGTGGAGTGTCACTCTGTCACCCAGGCTGGAGTGCAGTGGCACGATCTTGGCTCACTGCAACGTCCGCCTCCTGGCTCAAGCGATTCTCATGCCTCAACCTCCCAAGTAGCTGGGATTATAGGTGTGCGCCATCATGCCCAGCTAATTTTTGTATTTTTAGTCAAGATGGGGTTTCCCCGTGTTGGCCAGGTTGGTCTTAAACTCCTGACCTCAGGTGATCCGCCCACCTTGGCCTCCCAAAGTGCCTCCTTTGGGGTTACAGCCATGAGCCACCGCACCGGCCTCCTAGCTTCTTTTGAGCTTCTTCTAACTTCCCCTTTTTTTCTCTCCTCCCTTGTTCCCTCCCTCCCTGTCTCCCTCCTCTCTTTCTTGCTTCTATTCCTCCCTCACTTTTCCTTTCCTTCTTTCAAGAGAAATATAATAATTAAGCAGCCAGACTTTTATTGGCTGTGTGACCTCAGGCCCCTGGACCTCCTGCTCTCATCACTTGAGTTCCACACCTACTGAGAGTTTTATAGTCTCACTTCTGCCTTTTATTGGCTGTGTGACCTTAGGCCAGCTACCTAACCTAACCTCTCTGTGCCTGAATTTTGTAATTAAGAAGTGGGAATACTAATTGACTCATAAAGGGGTATTGTGAAGATCACATGGGTTGAGATATGTGGGCATGTAGTTTGCACTCAATAAGCATTAGCGGATGCTGTTGTTATTATTATGCTAGTGTTTCTTTTCTCTCCTAAATCCAGTGTGGCTGATGATCTTATAAGAAGGTGAAATAAGAGATTGACTGTGTGGTGGGATTTGGGGGTTTTGGAGAAGAGCCTCCCATTCCAGACATAAAGGTTTCAGGACTCCTTCCATTAAATATGAAAATCTTATTTAATTTTCCTAACAAATGCATGAAACATATCATCATCCTCATTTTATAAGAGAGAAATTTGAGGCTTAGAGAGCTGACACAGCTGGTTCATGTAGTAAGTACTAGGAGGCAACGTGAACCCAAGACTATCTTCAAAACTCTGGCACTTCCTACTATAATGCACATAGGTTTAGATGTATGCCAAATGCAAGTAACTCATTTTTTAGAAGAGCTTTTGGTGGGTCAGAGGTGGGTTGTGCTTGAAGAACAGCATACTAGCAAAGGGTGCATCCTGTAGATATTTTGGCCCCTTTCATTGTTGCCTCAGGCTACCTTATTCCTTTTCTACTCGACCTCTGCATCTTCAGAATCTGGACTGGAATATGCAGGCTTGTTGGGGGCTGATGTCCACCCTGGCCCTGGCTGAGCATTTTTTCTTCATTCTGTGTACCAGGCCAGAAGGTAGGAGACGAAGAGTCTACCTCTACAGACTTAGCCTCTAAATCATTGCAATCGGGATGGGGAGGAGTAGGAGTAGACTGATCATAACCACAGTTGTAAGAAAAACATAGTAGTAGAAATGTTCTTAACTGGACTTCGTGTGACTAATTTGCTTGCTGGATTAGCACAAGCTCTACATTTTACATGCCGTGAAATACCCTGTGCCCTCTGAATGTTCAAGGTTGCTGACTGGTCAAGGTTACTGAGTGTTAAAGGTCAGTGAATGTTCAATGTTACTGAGGTTCAATGTTCAAGGTTACTGAGTATTTAAGGTTACTGTGTTTAAGATCACTCAAAGTTCAAGGTCACTGAATGCTCAAGGTCACTGAGTGTTCAAGGTCACTGAATGTTCAAGGTCACTGAATGCCCAAGGTTACTAAGTGTTCAAGGTTACTGAGTGCTCAAGGTTATTCTTTAGTACCCCTAGACCCCCTACTCCCATCATTTGAGTTCCACACCCACTGAGAGTCAGTTATGCTTATTCTGTCAGACTCGGAACATGATACCCAAAAGTATGGCCCCTTGGCATGCTGAGTCCTTTGAATTGAAGGACCTTGGAAGGGCCTCAGAAGCAAGTTCTGTCTGACCTTCTCTTCCCCTCCTGTCTCTCGCCCCTCTTTCTCCCTTGAAGTGAGTTGTAGAAACCAGAAGTCCTCTTCCCCAAAATCAGTCATAGGAACTAGCACCCCTCTCCCCTGGAGCAAGCCATAAAACTAGAATGGTTATTCTCTCCCTGCTGCCTTGAAGACCTTCATTCCATAGGGGTCCTGCTCCACACCCAGGAGGAAGAAATGTTAGACAGGGAGGCCAAGGAGAATCTGAACCCACAGGCTTGCTAGGTTTCCCCCTCAGTCCGTCACCACTGGATCATCCCCTTTCTGTCCCATCCCCTTCTGCAATGGCTCACTCTTCATCAAACCAAACAAAGACATTGGGTCTTCATTTCTGAAGGCTCCCAAGTAACGTAAAACTTTAATTAAACAAATTTGTTTTGCTTTCCTCTTGCTTTCCTGTCTTTTGTCCTAGGAGTGTCCAGAGTGACCCTTGTGATGGGTAAGGAAAAGTGACACATCTTTCTGCCCCTACAGTTTCTAAAACAGTTTATGCCAGCTGTACTCATTAAGTGGATGAAATAGGCAGGAGAACATTTGAATACTTTGGAAAGACTGGTAGCTGGTGAGTCACCACAAATAATTACTGTTGAATTAGGTGTGAATGGGGCAACAGAAAGATCAGGAAACAAATCTTAAAAACCCGGAAAGTCTCCAGAGAGCCTTCAGATTACTTCACAAGTATTTAAAAATTATTTCCATTTTAAGGAAATGGATACTGAACATCATGGATGAGGTGTTATGAATGTAATTTATGAGAAAGACAATGAGGAACTCTAATCAACAGACCACACCACACTAATTTGGCCCTACATCAAGCACTGGTGGATTAACATGCATTTAGAAGTTGCAAATTAAAATAAAATATATAAGGATCTAAGTTGATTCCCAAACAACAATTGGTCCCAGTAGTATTGTCTAAGAGGGATTCTTCTTTGCTCTGGTTTGTATAAAAAATATATAGAAGATGCATCAGTGGTTTTTTTCTTCTTTTTAAAGGAAAAAACACTGATTATCCAGACCAGAAAAAAAAAAAAGAAAGAAAGAAAGAAAAAAATCAAGCAAGAGAAGACTTCTAATCAAGAGTAGTGACCCTGAGAATCCTGAATTTCCTCTTTCTGTTTCTCTAAATTTTGGATTAGGTCCCATGCAAGCCACCTCCTCCTCCAGCATCTGCTGAGCATCCCTCACCAGGGAGCTGTGGGGAGGGACCCAGCTGAATTCTGGGCAGGGGAAGTGAGAGGGGAGAGAGTGTGGATGGTGCTGGCATTCCAGGAATCACTTAGAATTAGAGAAGAGACCACAGGAGGGGATTCCAGTGGGGGTTTTCCACTCCACAAACTTGCCAGACAATCTTTCTGGCAGGGTGGGTGGTAGATTTTCTGTGATTAGAGTCCCAGGTGATCATTTTGCCTTTCTAACTCTTTCTGTAAGGAGATGTGGGCACATCACCCACCAGCAGCCAGTGGGAATCTGGAATTTGGTTTCCTAACTCTCTCTTTCTTCCAATAACTTTTTAGCACCATCTGTTCTTTTCAAATACAATCTTTTCTTTCAAGCCAAGTCAATGCAGTAGGTTTTTTTTTTTTCTTCAATACATCATCCCCATGGAGAAGGATAAAGACAACATTGAAACTGAAATGTGGCCGTTTCTGTGGGATCCCTCCTTCAGTCCAGTCTGCCTCCAGCTTGAGGCCTGAGTCTTGAGCAGGGCTGGAGTTGGGGCATTCATCCAGGGCCCCCACTTCAGAGCTCCCGGGATTTCCCAGTCCTAGAAGCATCCTCCCTGCCCATGCTCAAATGATTCCAGCAGCCCATCCTGTTCCCTAGAGAGGCAGCCTAAATACCACTTAATGCCTGCATGTATTGATTGGTTCAAATGCGAATGCAAGCCTCTGAGCCAAGCAAAATGCTGACACCCAAGCCCAAAGGCTCCATTTCAGCCATAAATCTCTGGCCAAGTCAAGCCACTGTGCTGAAACTTTATACAGTAGGGTGAAACTTGCCATAAACTGTGGTCCTGTAAGCAAATTCTGGGGCTGGGATAAGTGGTCAGCCAGAAAAGCCTGGAGGAGCCTGGTGAGGTGGGGTAAGAATAGCTCACAGACTTGTATCTGCTAGAGAGGGTCCCCCACCCACACCTTGCTATGCCCTGCCCCTTCACTGGGGTGGTCATGGTTGGAACTCAGAACATGACCCCAAGGTATGGCACCTTAGCATGATGGGGACTTTAAACTGAAGGACATTGGAGGGTCTTCAGAAGCAAGTTCTCTCTGACCCTCTCCTGCCTTTCTATCCCCTGCTCCCCTTTCTCCCCCAAGGCAAGCCATAGAAATGAGAATTGTTGCTCTAACCTTCCCCCTGCCTTTCTGTATAGAGCTGTCCATAACAGAATTCTCTGAACTACCTTGTTGGATAGCAGATCTTAAGACCCTAGTTCCAGAGGGTCCTGCCCTGTACCAGGGAGGAGTGAGGAAGGAGTGCTAGACAAGAGACCAAGAAGAATCCAACAGCCAGGCCTTTTTGGGGTCCCCCTTCTGTCTATTAGCCTTAGCTCATACCCTTTTGCCTAATCATATTTCTACACAGCTATCTGTTCTTCATTGAACCTAAGCATAAAAACAGAAAATTTCCCCTGGGTCTTTGGGTTTTCATTTCTGAAGCCTCCCATGTCATGGAAAACTTTGACTAAATACGTTTGTTTTGCTTTTTCTCTCGTTAACCTGTTTTTTGTTATAGGTGTGTCAGCTGTGGTTGTTGTGATGAGTGAGGAGAGGGATCACACCTTTCCACCTCCACACTAGGAATGGGAAGGTAATTGTCAGAGGCTTTGATGGATGGTGCTCTGAGCCCTCTTGGTACAAAAAAGGCTCACAAGCCCTCCCGTGCTGCTTATACTCCATGGTGGCAAGTATCCTGGATAATAACGCTGTTGCAGGCTTGATAGATGTTAAGAGGGGTCTGAGCCTTGGAAATCACTGTGTCTAATCCTCTAATATGGCAGAGAAGAACTGAGACCCAAGGACACATCCACCTTCAGCCCGAGGAGGGGTCCATTCTACACCCCGTGTCAGGAATAATCTCTTTAAAACTCAAACATGGCCGGGTGCAGTGGCTCATGCCTGTAATCCCAGCACTTTAGGAGGCCGAGGTGGGCGGATCACGAGGTCAGGAGTTCGAGACCAGCCTGACCAACATGGTGAAACCCTGTCTCTACTAAAAATACAAAAATCAGCTGGACATGGTGGCGTGTGCCTGTAATCCCAGCTACTCTGGAGGCTGAGGCAGGAGAATCGCTTGAACCCAGGAGGCTGAGAGTTACAGTGAGCTGAGATTGTGCTACTGTACTCCAGCCTAGATGACAGAGCGAGACTCCATCTCAAAAACAAAAACAAAAACAAACAAAAAAAACCCTCAAACATGACCACAGTTCTCCAATGGCCTCGGGACCTGCCTCTGGCTCCCTGCACATACCAGGGCTCCTTCATCCTCCACATTTTGCTCATGATGTTCTCTGTACCCAGAGGCCCTTTGTTACTATGGTTTTTTTTTTTTTTTTTTTTTTTTGCTACTTGGCTACTCCTCATTGATCAAGGCTCATCTTGGTGTTTTTCAGGAATACACCTCCCAGGTTGGACCAGGCAACTGGTATAGGGGACAAGGGCAAGGAGTGCCAAACCCTGTCTGAGAAGTTTTTGGAAAAGCTTTTTGGAGAAGGTGGCATGTGCCACTATTGGCTGGCTTCCTTCGGTCCTAGTAGGGTGGGCAGGAAAGGCAGTATCATTGTTTGAATTGTGACTCACTCAAAAAGGTATGTTTAAGTCTTAACCCCCCATGCCTCAGAATGTGACTTTATGTGATAACAGGATCTTTATAAAGGTAATCAAGTTAAAATTAGATCATTAGGGTGGGCACCCATCCAATATGACTATATTCTTATAAAACAGAGGGGAATTTGGACACAGAGACAGATACACACACAGGGAGAATGCCGTGTGAATATGAAGGCAGGGATTAGGGTGATGTATACCAAGGAATGCCAAAGATTGCCAGAAAACCACTAGAAGCACAGTGGCATGGAAGAGATTCTTCCTCACAGGCCTCAGAAGGAACCAACCCTGCTGACACCTTGATCTTGGACTTCTAGCCTCCAGAACTGTGAGACAATGAAGTTCTGTTATTTAAGCCACCAGTTTCTGGTACTTTGTTATGGCAGTCCTTGCAAACTAATACAGGTCGATCATTCAAAACCATCCCCACTAACTGGAGAAACAAACTTTAAAAGTATTTTTGCAGACTTCGGATGAATGGTATCATTTTCTATGTGATGACCAGCCTGGTGGACAGACCAGCTGAGAAAACAACTTATTTCTTGCAAAGCAGCCCTATTTTCCTTGTGGCCAGAAATTGTACAGAACATTTTTCTACACGTTTACCTCTGCCTCCCAGATGAATACTATCACCATACCCTTCAGGGAGGCCCCTCTGTAGAATGATACTAGGAAGTGTTTGCTAACAATGCAGGAATCAAGGGCCCATTAGATTTGCCCAGGCTCATGCTCACACCTTTAAGCCATGCTTGAGGAAACTAATGGAATTTGGAATTCAGAATTCAGGCCTCTGCTGTATCAGCCATATGGGAGCTTTCCCGAACATAACAAACAGAACTGCTTGAGGCCCTGAGATTGTGCCAACGATATGTTCACTTGGGAGTCAATTTCTGGGCTGGGACTGCCACTGCCAATTTTCATGACTTTCGAGGGTCAGCTCAAAATTGTGACCTGGAACTTTTAAGGGATGCTGAGCCTGCATGAGAGGCAGGGGCACATGCAGGAGCCAGAAAGATGGGGGCTAGGGCTAGAGGGGGCAGGAATCCCTGGGCACAGGCCAGCGTTTCCTCCCATCTTCTCATTTCTCTCAGACTTTGAATCAATACAGTAAGAAAGCCCCAAACCCTCAGGATCATTTGACATGGTCCCTGGCCTAATACACTGGAAGCTGTAATTTTCTGGAAAGGACAGGCTGCTCCCAGTTTTTGGCTGGTTCAGTCCTTCAGTGATATATTTAATTGATAAGGGCTCGGCCATCTCCAAAACAGGAATAGCCCACTTCCTTTACCTGTCTCCCAAGAGATGTATGCAAAGTGTCTTAATACAGAGCTTCCTGGACACCCACTGTTTTATAAGTGTCACTATAGCCACTGGTGAGCTGGCAATGCAGTTTTCTTAAAAGCAAACCAAGCAGAAACCTCCAAAGAGTCCATAAAAACTGGCTCCTGGGGATGAGGCTGTAAAACCCATGTCTTCACCCAGGCCTTTTTGTGATAGGTCACAGAAGCTGGCATCTTTTCAGTTGCTCGGCATGTTTCTTATGGAGCTGGGCAGGAGAGCAGGACCCCCCTCCTCCTTCCCAGTTTCCAGCATTCTCCGAGGTCAGAGGACTCTGGAATAGACCGTGACAAAGGCTGGAAAGATGGAATCTGGCATGTGAGCTCCCACCTCCTGTGAATTCTGTGGGTGGTTGCAAAGTTCTGCTGACAGCTCAGAGCAGGTTCAGAGACAGCATTCAAAACAGCTCTGAGCCTCTGATTCAAAGCGCTGGTGGCCTCTGCTCCAAGGCAGTTAATGGACACTCAGGCTCTTCATGGCTACAGGGTGAGGCTTGTGTGGCAGGAGCTGCTGCAGGGGTATCTGAAAATGGTCGAGACTGTGGTCTGCAAGAGTCTCTGGCTTTGGAAACCTGCCAATGATGTCATCCAAGTGGTGACGGTGGTGCTTGTTACACTGACATTAGATAATAGTTACATTAGCGCCTGCCATCCTTGGACACTAACTCTGTGTCAGACGCTGGGCAGGAATTCTTCACAGTTATCTCATTTAATCTCTTAGGAGCTCTAAGAGGTAGGAATTGTTGTTCCCATTGCACAGATTAAAAAACTGAGATTCTAGCAAGTGAATTATCTTGTTCTAGGTTTGGTAAATAACAGAGATGAGGTTCCAACCTAGATCTGTCAAATTCCGAGTCCACAGCAAGGGTGAGTCCTTGGGACAGCCAGGGGACCCTCAGCTCAGTACACTCTTTACCATCTAAGAGGGCTCCCTGTTTCCACACATACAACCCCCACCGCCCAACTAATCTGATTCTTACAGCCACCCTGGGCAAAAGGCACGAGGGTGCCCGTGTCTCCTTTGTAGCATAGCCAGGCAATGCGGAATGAAGAGCTACAGGGCATGCTCAGAAGATTAGCTAGTGTGTGCCTGAGCTTGGGCTTGGGATTGGGATTTCTAGGCTGGCACTCCCTTATCCACCCCTTGAAGACTCCTGCAAGTGGGAAGTGCCTCAGAGCATGGGGCTTGGCCACCATGGTGTCTGCCTGCTGTGTGTGCCTGTGGAGCCTGACCGGTGATGTCTCTTCCGTTTATGAGGTCTTCCTTTGGTAGGGGCATGAGAGGGGCTTATATGTGTGGAGGAGCCTGGGACAAACCGGACCTGGGAGTCTCCTTCTTCCTTGCATTTTCACATGGGTGAAAATGAACATTGGTTCTTGTGGTACTGGGATAATGCAAGACTCTTCCCATTTTACAGATGAGAAAACAGGCATGGAAAGCAGAAGGAAATAAAAGCCCATTTTTTCGATAGGAAAAGACACAGACACTAGGATCCTAGAGCAAGAGTCTGGTGCTGATCCTCATGGCATCTTACCAACTGAGTTAGGATAACTGGGACCTTGAGGCCTCATCCATGATGACTTGGCTCCGTGTATGTTTGTGGGCATGGGCTCGGTGACAGGCCAGGGGCTGGAGCCCCATGTTGAGTTAAATCATATGCCACTGAGTCTTCTGGTGTCAGGTACATCATCTCATTTAAAAGATTTTTTTTCGTTCATTTTCATGTATTATAAAAATCTTTTGAGCATGCGCATATACTCCTGTCAGTCTGATATTAAGTATTAGTAAAATTCAATATCTTATTTTAAAATTAGTGATAAATATAAGAAGCCATGTTAATAGTACCGCAGGTAATCATTTTGAATATCCTGGGGTGACAGCACTCTGTTTTGGGACACAATAGCTTAGCCCATTGCTGTATTGGGAGATCCATGCTCTTGAGTGACCCTTCTCGCTTTGGTCCAACCCATTAATGGCCTCCAGTGCAGACATCCCTTATGTTACCATGCAAGGCTGCTGACCGAGGTCCCAGGGGACCCCTCCTTACCAAGGCTGGGGAGTCTCATTCCCTCTTGTCTGCTGCCACCCAAGAACAAGACTTTGATCACAATGTGCGAGACCCTGAATCCTAGATTTTCTTTGTTGCCCTTGCCTCTTTTATGAAGTCCCCTTTTCCCAGCCTGAGTGCTGCCTCTCATTCAGTCCACTATCTCCCAATAAAAGCAGATGTTGGCTGGGTGTGGTGGCTCACGCCTGTGGTCCGGGTACCTTGGGATGCTGAGATCGGCAGATCATCTGAGGTTGGGAGTTCGAGACCAGCCTGACCAACATGGAGAAACCCTGTCTCTACTAAAAATACAAAGATTAGCCAGGCATGGTGGCACATGCCTGTAGCCCCAGCTACTTGGGAGGCTGAGGCAGGAGAATCACTTAAACCTGGGAGGCAGAGGTTGCGGTGAGCCGAAGTCGCACCATTGCACTCCAGCCTGGGCAAACAGAGTGAGACTCTGTCTCAAAAAAAAAAAAAGCAGATGTTTTTGGCCCACAATTAAACCTTCTTTCAGCACTTAGTGGCTCTGGTTACAGAGTTATGCATTTACCCCTTACAAATTGCTGTCATCAGATACAAAGCACTAAATGGCATCCTGGAGGTGGCTCCTTTAGCTACTCCCACCCTCAGCTCCTGTCTCAGCCCCCTTCACTACACCTGATCAAGTTGGGCCTTCGAGGAGCAAGCTGCTCTTCTCTCCTCTCCTGACGTGGCCGCTGTTTGCAGGCTGTGGCTGATCCTGTGTCCTCTTTCTGTCCTTGGTGGAGGTGGTGGTGAGAGTCTCTTTCGAATACTCCACAACCCCCTCAGGTAGTGTCTGCTGTTACTTTCCCAAAAGCACCACAGGACTCTCCAGAGCTCAGCTGAAAGATCTCTAACTGCCTTGACCCTCCCAGCCAACCCCCTGTATCATATTCCTTTAAGCAATTTCCCATGGAAGGATTCCCAGTATATGCATTTGCCTGTTCATAGAATTGTACAGCTTTCAAAACAAGCCTCAGTGAGCATATACATCCTAACACATCTGGTACTTGCTTCCAGTTGGGGAGTGGAAGAACAGAGGTGGGTGGGGTATGATCCCTGAACTCACGACTCCTGGAGAGAGGAGACTCCTTTCCCAAAAATCCCAAGGCCCTTTGGGACAGCACATCAGACCTAGTACCTTCAGACCAAGTTCCTGTCTAGCGCCTCCCACGCAGGCCTCCATAATAAGGAGGTGACATGGGTTGGGTATTCAAATTGGCCGTCTCATGGGCCACAGTGTGGAAATAATTGAAGTCTTTTAACAGAGGTGTCTAAGAGAGCGATTAAAAGGGAATTGCAATTATTGAGCCCAGAGGTAAAATTTCAGAACTGGCCTATAAATCCTGGTCTGACACGAAATTTAAAACTCCCCAGTGGTCTTCAATGCCATATTAAAAGGATTTTAATACTAAGAAGTAGAAATAATGAATGATAATCAGGGTATTGTTTCTGGGAGCCGGGGCAGCTCTGAGGGCCGGGCTGGTGGGAACCGCAGGTTAGAGTTGGGCTGTGTTTTACATCCCTCCCTTCACAAGAGATCAGTGGAGGAAGGGAAGGCAGACTTTGGCAGCGGGTGTTGAGTGAAAGCCTGGCAGAGCCATTCCCAGGTGAACTCCAGCCCAAACTCTGCTGAAAGCCAGAGGCACAAACAGCCCGTGCCTGTTACACAGCTGCTCTGGGTCAGATTGTGTGGGGGGCCAGGGGCTGGCTAAGGGCTGGGAGTTTATGGGCTGTGGGAACCTCTGGCCTCCTGTGAGCCTTGCAGAACAACTTCCCCACAGGCCTGTGCCTACTCGGCGTCTGGCCCAGCGTGAGCAGATGCTTGTGCATAGAGACACAGCATGGTCCAGAGGAAGAATACCCGAGTGATGGTCTGGAGATCCCAACTCAAGAGCCAGACTCTTCACTGGCTGGCTGTGGGCGAGTCACTCCACTTCTTTCCTTGTGGTTTCTTTATTTTATTAACCCTTTCACAGGACTGTTGAAGGATTAAATGGTAGAATGAATAGAAGAGTGCTTTGAAGATACACCGTATAATAGGTTTCTATTTTTTGGTTTCTAGTGCCCATTTTGATATGGTCATTCTCTTCTGGATTTAAGTCTGTTCCCTTCAAATCTGATGACCAAAATACAGCTAGATGACTCTTGAAGCTTTGTTCAGCTACAGAAGTCTAGGACAATGGTGGTACCTTGTACTGGTCTGGCAGGTGCAGGGAATCCTAGGGCCAGTTCTCCCTGAGGTCTGGGCTATGCATCTGTAGCCTCTTGGAGGGTTCTCTCGCCAAGCAGCTCCAGCACACCATCGCTTTCTGTTCACATGTGATCACCACAAATCCCTCCTCCTCCCTACCCCCTCTTTGTTACCCCCAATTCTTTTCCCACAAATGATTACCGAACCAGATCTCCTAGATTCTGTAGGTTGTGGCTCAAAGCAGCTGGTTGTTTTGAACCTGAGTGTGGGGGCATGGTGCTTTCTGCAGCAAATTTTAACTACTTGGTTGCCAGAATTTAGTCTGTCATCTGTGAAGTTGGCTTTGCTCCTGAGCTTTGAATCATCAGCAGACCAGGCCACTCATAAAATGAGATGATAACCACACAGCTTCTAGCACCGTACCTAGAAGGTGGTAAGTGCTGAACAAATGTTAAATTCTGTTTCTGCCACCCTCTCAGTCACGCATCAAAAACACAGAAAAGCCAAAGGCCAAAGCGGAATCCTTTGGCACTTTTATCTGAGATGCCTTCCAGATGGGCAAGACTTACTCACTATGCCTCTTTGGATAAAAGTGTTCAATTTGCCACAGACTCACCTACCAGAATATCAGGAAAGCATTGTCCAGTGGGTTGCCTAAATCAAGTTATTCTGTGTCTGTTCCATTCCTCTACCCTACTAAGCTCATGACGCTCCTGAAGAGGGTCTTTTTATTCTAAGTGAGCCTGTGTTGACACTTGGAATTACCATATTCTCCTCCAAAGGTTCCAAAATCACTTCTTCAACAACTGTTTAGAATGTTACTGCGGTTAATCTTTTTAAATTAAAACAATTGGTGGGAGGGTGGGGGCGCTGGCATGCTTGTTCACACCTATAATCCCAGCACTTTGGGAGGCTGAGTCAGGAGGATCATTTGAACCCAGGAGTTTGAGACCACCCCAGGCAACAGTGAGACAGGTCTCTACAAAAAAAAAAAAAAAAAAAAAAAAAAAAAGGAAGAAAAGAAAAGGAAAGAAAATTAGCCAGGCATGATAGTGTATGCTTGTAATACCAGCTACTGGGGAGGCTGAGGTAGGAGGATCATTTGAGCCAGGGAAGTTGAGGCTGCAGTGAGCAATGATCGTGCCACTGCACCCCAACTTGAGCAACAGAGAGAGACCCTGTCTCAAAAAAAAAATTTTTTTATTGACTCCTGAAGTAAACACAATCTTAAAAATACAGCACTGACATCCTTGCATTTCAATCTAAAAATAAAATTGTCTATAAAAGGAGTTGTAGGCCGGGCATGTTAGCTCACGCCTGTAATCCCAGCACTTTGGGAGGCTGAGGTGGGTGGATCGTCTGAGGTTAAGAGTTTGAGACCAGCCTGGCCAACATGGTGAAACCCCATCTCTACTAAAAATACAAAAATTAGCCAGGCATGGTGGCACATGGCTGAAATCCCAGCTACTCGGAAGGTGGAGGTGGGAGAATCACTTGAACCCAGGAGGCGGAGGTTGCAGTGAGCCCAGATCATGCCACTGAACTCCAGCCTGCGTGACCCACGGAGCAAGACTCCGTCTCAAAAAAAAAAAAAAAAAAAGAGCTCTAATCAAACTTGCCTAGTTTCCTCTTAAATAAATAACATATAAATATTTACTCAAACAGAACACCTTACAGTGCATGCAGAGTTGATATACAAGATGACTTTAAACAACAATTAACAAGGCCATCCAGCATGTGGAGAACCTGTTACATCAATGTGTAGCAACTGTTCTAGAGGTAGGGCAAAAAAAGAATAAGACAAGAATTCTACCTTCAAGGAATCTTTAGTGGTGAAAACTGCAGAGTAGTATGAAATAAAAAGCAAATAAGCCCAAGGCACCTATAAGCAATTTCATTGAATTCAACAAACATTTATTGAGTATAGTGTGCGCCAGGCATTGTAGTAAGTACTGGACAGAGATGATGAGACAGTCTCTGCCCTGGAGGAACTTGTGTTCAAGAGTTTTCATACTAAAACTGTCTAAATGCTGAGAAAAATCAAAGAAAGTGAGAGCCCAGTGCAGCATGGGACAGGATGAATGAATTAACTGGGGAAAGAGAAAACTGAAGAAAGATGTTCCAGGTAGGTATCATGCCACGAGGAAAAGCAGCACTCAAGTCTTCCCACCCAGCCCCAAGGAGGAGGACTGAGAATTTCTTGTAGGGGACGAATATGGGATTCCATCACCTGATTGCTCAAGACTTTTAAAGCTCAAATGCCCTAGACGGAGACAATGATCAAAATGTTGAGAGAAAAGTAGTTCAAGTTTAAAAGAATAGATAATGCTACAGGTCAGGGAAGCCATTTCAAAATAAGATTCTTTTTGACAATGTCTCTTTAAATGACGTGACTCTGGGGACTTTTCCTCGCTAAGCATCTGCCACCCTACACAATAATTAGCCAGCTACACATTTTCTTTGTTGTTCATTAAAGATTAATGAGAGGCAGAGCTTAAGGTCTAGTTAGATGGAGAAACACTGAAGGGGTCATTTGAACCTTTCATATCTGTTCCTTTCGAAACTCTGATGAGCAGGTTTTCAATACAACAGCAGCTGTCTGTGTCTTCTAACCTACAATATGCCTTTGGTGGAAACTCAGATGTTTCTGGCATGCTGTCTCCCACCATCAGCTAAAAAGCACATGCATGAAAGGAGGCAGAACAGCTGTTTGGAGCTCTGCGGTGGGTGGAACATGTTTCATGCTGGGGTGACGGGGCATTTTCAGCAAAGCGTGTCTCCCCACTTTGTGTTGAGTTCCTACGGCACCATCAAAGAGAAATGCCAGGTATCAAGGTGCCACTGTGCAAACACAGCAAGGTCTGGCCAATTTGGAAGCTAGCCCTCCTTTACCTATTTATTTTGTTCTAACTGTTAGAGTTTTTCTAATTCTTCACTCTGCAGACAGCCACCACACTGGGAGAGGCAGAGAGGTGATAAAGAGAGGGTTTACTTAACAAAAGGGATAAAAGGAAAACTAATGGAAATTTAAATACTTCTAGTTAAAAATAGGCAGCTGAAATAATGAAGATAGAAATGATAGAAGACCCTGGAATAATTAATGCCCTTCTGGTACTTAGCAGGTCCTGGCCCTTTAAGATTAGCTCACATGAATGGATTTCGGCTGGTTTAGATCTTTCTACTCAGAATGATGCCTGGGTTGGTCCACTTCCTGCTCTTTTTCCTCTTTCGGTTTCTGAGTCTGTGTTTGGCATCTTTTAGCATCTTGTACAATGCCATGTACCCAGAGGAGCTCAAAGGCCATTAATAGATGATGTTGATGATGCCAATAATCAGAGCTAGGAGCTGTGATTGTATTATAAGCAAAGCATTTGAATAATTGCAGAGCCGACAAGGCCCAGAGTGACATTTCTCCATCCCTATTACTGATGAGCACGACCTTGGGACAAGTCAACACCTATTGTTCCCCCAGGATGGAATGTAGGGAAGTCTGGGGCGGCCTCTATAGCAAAGGCTGAAGGAATGCATCATTCCACCAAATCAGCCTCCCTGGATCATCTCTAGTCCTCCCTAGGAACTCTGATCTCCCAAATCCCTCCCTCACCTCCTGTTTCCATTTCTTCCTCCAGGAA
This sequence comes from Homo sapiens, assembly GCF_000001405.40. Taxonomy (NCBI): domain Eukaryota; kingdom Metazoa; phylum Chordata; class Mammalia; order Primates; family Hominidae; genus Homo; species Homo sapiens. The sequence continues at coordinate 29,406,359 of NC_000002.12, forward strand.
CCCTTTTGTATAAGGACTTGTTAGGATTTGAGGTGGAATGAGAATCTACGAGGCTATGAGCTGAGATATTCCCAGCCTGTCTCCAAGTTTGCCTTCAGTAAACAGGTTCCTCTTAGGCTCAGAAGCCTCATTCTGAGAGGCCTCATAGAAATGAATAGAAGCTGACCGATTGCTGATTGTACCTGTGTTCCTTTGCAGAGCCTGCATGGAGCTGGGAGGGTACCCAATTCATGGATTTTCTGTATTAGAAAGTTAAAACAAGGCCAGGTGCGGTGGATCACGCCTGTAATTCCAGCACTTTGGGAGGCCGAGGTGGGCCAATCATGAGATCAGGAGATCGAGACCATCCTGGCCAACATGGTGAAACCTCATCTCTACTGAAAATACAAAAATCAGCTGGGCATGGTGGTGCACTCCTGTAATCCCGCTACTTCGGAGGCTGAGGCAGGAGAATGGCTTGAACCCGGGAGGTGGAGGTTGCAGTGAGCTGAGATCGCGCCACTGCACTCCAGCCTGGGAGCCAGAGTGAGACTCCATCTCAAAAAAAAAAAAAAAAGTTACAACAGAATTTTCATGAAAGATCTGGCCTGTATAATGATCCTGCTTCCCATCCTGGCACAGTCTGTTCTTTTTCTTCTTCTGCACATTCTGGTTTTGTCCATGTATCAGCTGTCCTGATTAGCAGCACATCTTATTTTGTGCATGAAGTCCGCGTGCTGCATCACTTGTGGTTCATCCTCAGTCCTGGACCGGTAGACCTGTCCTTCAACTCTCCAGCAAACGTGTCTAACTGCCTACGATTCAACTTTCTGATCTGAAGCAGCTCTTTATCTTCTTAGAAGAGCATGTTTTCTGCCAGGTTCAACCATAAATAAACCTATGAATCAAATTTGTCTCCTTTGGGTGAGATATACAACATCCAGATGAAGGATCCAGAAGACCTGACTTTCTAATTCCACCTTTGTCATTATTCACAGTTAACATTTATTGAACTCTTATTAAGTGGCAGACATTGTGTTAAGCACTTCTAAGCCATTATCTCATTTAACATTCGCCCCTACCATATGAAGTAGGTTTATTATGATGAAGAAACAGAAATTCAGGAAAGTCAGATGACTTGCTCAAGATCACACAGCTCGTAATAGAGGCTGAGTTTGAATTCAGGGCCCAGGCCTGTCCAACTTCAAAACCACTGCTCTTAACTGTTACCTTTTATGGTCTCCTAACCCACGAGGAACCAAGCAAGGCTCTTTGGATCTCTGGGACTGTCTTTATATGCAAAGTAAGGGAGTAGGTCTAGGGCTTTCCTTGGTCCATTCAGTTCTCACATGCTGTGGATCAATTCCCTACACACCCTTTGACCCCTGCAGCCTTTTCTACCCTACCTTCCATTCAGAGCTTCCCAGGGCTATGCCCTCTTCCTATGGACCCCTAACATTTCACCGATGTGTCATGTCATGATGGCCTAGCTGCTCATCGCATCACCTGGTAGACTCCTCCACCTTTTTCTACCTCATCTCTGGGTGAGTGTGGAGCTGAAAAAAGGAATTAAGCCAAATAAAGACCAATTACTAGGAGAGTAGCTTTGGAAACCAAGAAGTCCCAGAGACTGTATAACTAGAGGCAGAGAAAGATATCCCACCATGATCAAAGGAGAAAGAGTGAGTAGGCTACAGGTGGGCCTGGGAAGATTCTTATAGGCAAAGGTACTCAGGGAAAGTTCTTTTTCTTTTTTTTTTTTTGAGATGGAGTCTCGCTCTGTCACCCAGGCTGAAGTGCAGTGGTGCCATCTTGGCTCACTGCAAACTCTGCCTCCCGGGTTCAAGCGATTCTCCTGCCTCAGCCTCTCGAGTACCTGGGACTACAGGTACGTGCCACCACACCTGGCTATTTTTTTTTTTTTGTATTTTTAGTAGAGACAGGGTTCCACTGTGTTAGCCAGGATGGTCTCGATCTCCTGACCTCATGATCCGCCTGCCTCGGCCTCCCCACAAAGTGCTGGGATTACAGGTGTGAGCCACCATGCCCGGCTGGAAAGCCCTTTTTATAAGGCCTGCCAGGAGCTCAGGATGGAGTGGACCATGAGGGGTAACAAGCCCGATGGAGCTCAGGATAGGAGCCAGTGGGCAGGGAGCACATGACACAGCTCAGTCACCCTGAACCAATCTGCGAATTGTTAACCTGAAGTCAGTGTTCAATCGAGGTATATGCATATATTATAGGGACTTATAAAATATTTTTATTTCTCTTTTAAAAGAGGCTTATGTAGTACTCTGATTTGAGAAATACTATCTAATCCATGATATGCGCTGATGATCTTGATCAAACTATTTTTTCTCTCTGGACTTATTCTTTACATTTTTAGAAAAGTGGGGAATGGGCAGATGAGAATTTTTAGTTCTATGAGTTTCAGGCTGAGAAGGGAGGCATTCTGGAGGCGGGCAGACCTTTCTGAGATTGCTGCCCCAGCTGACAGCCTCAAGGTCACCAGGCTTGAGAATGCTCAGGTAGAAAACCAGATCAAGAAAAGAACAGAACTTGCTGATTTTTCCTTGGAATGCAATTTCCCAGGGAGAAAGGAACATACAAGCATTTGTTTCTAGGGGCTGATTTATTTCCGTGGCTTTCATATCTCAATCCACACCTATCTCTGAAGGCAAAGAACACCAGGGACTTGTTTTGTTGTACTTTGCATCCTGGAGACAATGGAGATGCCATCTCATCAGTGAATAGTAATGTAAGCGAAGGAGAGACACAGATGGGCGAATCTGATAACGTGCAACCCAAGGAGTGAGCCATATTTATTCTTGTCACCTCTAAAATGCCACTCGTCTTGTTTCCCACCTGTCCTCAATATATGCTTCACTATTAGCCTCTAGTAAGGGAAGAGAATAGGTCACCTTTTAGTGTATTTACCCAGCGAGAAGAGAGTGTTCTCTAAGATCATCTTTGACCTTCCTTTTTCTCCTTCTACTGTCTCTGCAGAGAGCTTGTTCATTCTCACAGTCTCAGTGCTGCTTTCTGTGGGGAGGACTCTCAAATCTTCAGCTCCTGCTCTGGTCAGGCTCACGGGACCATTGGCACTGTTTCCTGCCACTCGGAACCATTTCTGCCTGGATGCCAAAAATTACACGGAGCCCCCTTCAATCCATCAGCCCATCCCTCTATCCATTATTCTACTTTCCTCCAGAGGGGAGGACACAATTCACAAGCCCAGAGCTTCCTTAATCTCCTTTAATCAGAGAAGATGCCATTGGACCTCCAGCCTTATAATGATCACCACTGGCTGAGCCAGTGGCTCCCGTCAAGCCTCATCCTCTTCCTCTATGACCTGGGACCGTGGTGCAGTATTTTTGCTGAGTTTTGCCTTTCTTTACTAAGACTCTTATCTGTGTCCTTGATTCCTAGTGGGCTTCCCACCTGCCTTCTTGCTCCCTTGGTGACCCCAGACTTATTCTGCTCCTTGAGCTCAGGGTTCAAGGGTTCATTTCTCTACCCCATTACCCATTTCTGTCTTCTCTGATTGCCTGCACTCTGTGTGCCCTGTTGGCTGTTCATCTTTTCTCTGCTTGGACCTTGAACTGGGTCAAGTACTTCCAGTTTCACTCTTTCTTGAGCCTTTATCTTAATCATATACATCATTAAACATATGTTCAACCTTCATAATTTATAGCCTATGAACCCTTAGAAGGTTCAGTCACGCATTGCTTAACAACAAGGATACATCCAAGAGCTGCATCTTTAGGTGATTTTGTCGTCATGGGAACCTCATAGAGTGTACTTACACAAACCTAGACGGTGTGAAAGGAGGACCCCCAAATCACTAAGGAAAGCTCAAGCTGGAAGCTGCTTAGGGCAACCCTGCCTCCCATTCTATTCAAAGTCACTCCTCTGCTCACTGAGATAGATGCATATGTGATTTGCCTCCTTTGGAAAGGCTAATCAGAAACTCAAAAGAATATAACCCTTTGTGTATCACCTAATTGTGACCTGGAAGCTCCTGCCCACCTTCTGCCTTTGCTTCAAGTTGTCCCGCCTTTCTAGACTGAACCTATGTACTTTTTACGTATATTGATTGATGTGTCATGTCTCCCTAAATGTGTAAAATGGAGCTGTGCCCTGACCACCTTGGGCATATGTCATCAGGACTTCCTGAGGCTGTGTCACGGGCACGTCCTCAACCTTGGCAAAATAAACTTTCTACTACACACCTAGGCTATATAGTATGGCCTATTGCTCCTAGGTGGCAAACATCTACAGCATGTTACTGTACTGAATACTGTAGGCAAAGGTAACACACGGTATTTGTGTATCTAAACACATCTAAACATAGAAAAAGTATGGTAAAAATATAGCATAAAAGATTTAAAATGGTACACCTATGTAAGGCACTTGCCATGAATGAACCTTGGAGGAGTGGAAGTTGGTGAGTCAGTGAGGAGTGGTGAGTGAGGGTGAAGGCCTAGGACATCACTGTACACTCCTGTAGACTTTAGCAACACTGGACACTTAGGCTACACTGAATTAATAAAAAATATTTTTCTTCAATAATAGATTAGCCTTAGCTTACTGTAACTTTGTTACTTTATAAACTTTTAATTTTTTGACTTTTTGATTCTTGTAGTAACACTTAGCTTAAAACATAAATACGTTGCTCAGGTATACAGAAATATTTTCTTCTTTATATCCTTATTCTGTATGCCTTTTTCTATTTTTCATAAATTTTAATTATTTTTGTATTACTTTTTAAACTTTTTTGTTAAAAACTAAGACACGAACATGCACATTAGCCTAGGCCTACACATGGTCAGGATCATCAGTATCACAGTTTTCCACCTCCACATCTTGTCCCACTGGAAGGTCTTCAGGGGCAATAACATGAATGGAGCTGTCATCTGTGATAACAATGCCTTCTTCTGGATATCTCCTGAGGGCCCTGCCTGAGGCTGTTCTAGAGGAGCTGTCACTCTTTTCAGAAATATGTTCAGGGTGGATTTCTTGCTTTGTTTCCTCTCTTCATCACAGAGTTGCTTGTAAGCAGATAATGCACGATGAACATTCCTCTCTATTAAAAAAAAAAAACCTTTTGGTATTGGAATCCATGTTTTCAAACCTTTTTCTTTTTTAAGAAAAAAAGAGATGGGGGTCTTGCTATGTTGCTCAGGCTGGCCTCTAACTCCTAGCCTCAAGTGATCCTCCTGCCTCAGTCTCCCAAGTAGCTGGGAGATGTCTTCAAACTTTTTGAGGACCTTGTTGAGGTCTGGAAAAGCTTCTGCTAAACCCTTCACTATGAATTTTCTTGGGAGTTCTTCTTTTCCTTCTCATGCAGTTTCCTTTTCTCTTGCCTCTTCTTCAGTTTTGCATTCCTCTTCCAGTTCCAACAACTCATTAGTCAATTCCTCAGGAACCACCTCTAGGAGCTCCTCAATGTCATTCTCATCCACACCCACGTTAAACTTATTTGCCATCTCAGCTTACAGCCTTGTTGATTTTTGCAACCTCCTCATCCTTGGCAAATCCTTTGAAGTCATGGATGAGCCTCTTGAGTGTCTTTGAGATGTCACTCATACACTCTTTGGTGACACCAGCCCAAGCGCAAGCAAGTTTCTTGATGCAGTCTTAGATGTTGTAATCCTTCCAGAATTGCATCAGTGTCATCTCAGTGTCTTCCTCAGCTTCAGCAATAGCCTGTCCAGGTAGTAGATACAAATGTTATGTCCAGGTAGTAGGCCTGAAGAGCTGCTATAACTCTTTGATCCATTGGTTGGACCAAAAAGGTGCTATTTGAAGGGAGAGACACCACTTTGATCTTGGGATGAAAATCACCAGTAAAAGGAGGATGTGTGGGAGCATTATCAATAGTGAACAAAATCTTGAAAGGTATGTTACTCTCCAAATAGCACTTCTCCATTTCACTGAGACAGCAATTCAGGAAGGCATCTTGGAGGAGGAGCTGGGTCATCCATGACTTCTAATTGCTCCTGTAGTACAGTGGCGCTGCATGCTTATAGATATGCCTGAAAGCCCTGGGGTTTTCACTGTGCCAGATCATGAAGGGTTTCCAGCTCTAGTCTGCACCATTGCTTCCAAGCAAAACTGTTGTCCTGTCCTTAAAAACCTTGAAACCTGACATTGACTTAGTCACCTTATGGATGGAAGTCCTTTCAGGCATCCATTTCCAGAATAGGGAGGTTTCAACCATATTGAAGATTTTCTCTGGCAAATAATTTTTCCCCACAATCAGCTTATCTAGTTTGAAAATTTTTTTCAGCTGCCTTCACATCAGCATATGCAGAGTCACCACTCACACATGCAGACTCACCACTCACTTTCATATTATGTGATGAATAATGATTCTTGAATAATTTAAACCATCTAGAGCTAGCAGTAAATTCAACATCACAGTCAGGTCCAGCCTTGTTTTTTCAACATTGCAAACAAGCTTTTTGCTTTGGCCATGGTTGCCATGGTGCTGAGAGGGATACACTTCTGTATCTGGTCTTTAATCCAAGTTGTGAGGAGTTTCTCCATAACTGCTATAGACCCTTCTAGAATTTTTGTTTGTCTCCTTGCCTTCAATGAAGTAGATCCTTTAATAGCTTCCATCACTTTGTTCTTGTTCTTCAAGATCGTAGCTATGGTGGCATGTGACATGCTTGACGGGCAAGCAATAACCATCACTGATTTCCACCTTCGTAGTCCTTAATCACTTTTAATTTTGTTTCCAGGTCAATCACTTGATGCGGCCTGTTACTGGCAACATCAGCAGTGGATTTTGTGTGCTTAGGGACCATGATGAACAAAACAACATGAGACTAAATCAAGCACAAGAGAAAACGACACCATCAAGAGACATGGTAAACACAAGATGGATGAGGCTGCTGTTGGGGTAACATGGCGTATGTTTTACAGTAAACTCTTTTCTTTATAAGTAGAAAGAGCACACTCTAAAATAATAATAAAAGTATAGTATAGTAAACACATACTTGTTATCTTTTTTTTTTTTGAGATGGAGCCTCACTCTGTTGCCCAGGCTGAAGTGCAGTGGCACGATCTTGACTCACTGCAACCTCCGCCTCCCAGGTTCAATTGATTCTACTGCCTCAGCCTCCCAAGTAACTGGGACTACAGGTGCACACCACCACATCTGGCTGATTTTTACTTATTTATTGTTTATTTATTTATTTTTTTAAGACAGAGCGTCACTCTTTTGCCCAGGCTGGAGTGCAGTGGTGCAATCTCAGCTCACTGCAACCTCCACCTCCCAGGTTCAAGCAAGTCTCCTGCCTCAGCCTCCCAAGTAGCTGGGACTACAGGCACCCTCCACCATGCCCGGCTAATTTTTTATATATTTAGTAGAGACAGGGTTTCACCATGTTGGCCAGGCTGGTCTCGAACTCCTGACCTCAGGTGACCCACCTGCCTCAGCCTCCTATAGTGCTAGGATTACAGGCTTGAGGCACCTCACCCAGCCTAATTTTTATATTTTAGTCGAGACGGGGTTTCGCCATGTTGGCCACTCTGCCGAACTCCTGACCTCAGGTGACCCACCCACCTCGACCTCCCAAAGTGCTGGGATTACAGGCGTGAGCCATCGTGCCCAGGCCTGTTTATTATCATTATCAAGTACTATGTACTGAACATAATTGTATGTGCTATACTTTTATCCAACTGGCAGTGAAATAGGTTTATTTACACCAGCATCATCACATACACATGAGCAATGCATTGTGTTATGAGGTTAGGATGGCTACAACGGCACTAGGTGATTGATAGGAAGTTTTTAACTTCATTATAGTCTTATGGGACAATGGTTGATAGGTGGTCTGCTGTTGACCAAAATTTTATGTGGCACGTGACTATATTGAAAGAACCCCTTACTATCTTCACATTTTAATGAAAGGAGTTAAATTGGATGATCTCTAGGATCTCTTACAGTTCTGAAATAGTGTGACTTAAAAATGCTAGAAGACCACTTAGCTAAACTCTTTCATTTACAGGCAAAACGGACCCAGAAATTGAATGTAACCTGACAGCCTGGAGACTGAACTGGGATTAGGACTTTGGTCTTTTGAGTCCCCATTCTTGCCAAAACCCTCTGCTTTGCCTTCATTGTTTCTTTCTCTCCCTGCGAGTAGGTCATAGTAGGCCCCTGGCCATCTGTCAGATGGTTGTGTTATTTGGAAATAAGAAAGAAAATAAAAGACCCCTTGCTCCCAGCCCATTCCTTGCATTAGCGGCTTCAAGATGACATTGGGAATGTGCAACCCACTTACGAGAACAAACTATTTTTAAGTACTTGAGCACATTGATTGTTTGTGTGTGAGTGGCACCACTAATTACAAGTAAGTCCTGTCTATTTATCAAAGCAGGTCCCTTTCAGACAGTTCCTGCATGCAAACGATCCTTCCCCACAATTAGGATAAATTAGCAAGGTTTTACTGAACTAATGAGACAATGTTTGTGAGACTTGTCTTTATGTCTTCCAGGCTGTTTTGAGACAAGAGTCTATAATTGGGATCCTCAAACTGCCATATTTAAGGAAGCCTGCACAAGAAGGGAGGTTTATCAAATCTTCTAGTCATTCCAGAGGATGTCACGTGGAGGTGTGGCTCCAGGCCCAGGAGCATACAAATGCATGCATGGATACATAGGACATGTGTGCACACACATGCACAGATATGCAGACACCCCACACACATGTATACACACACATCAAATACAGTCACAGGCTCTAGTTTGCAATTAAGCTTCTTCTTCCCTCACTATAAGTGACCATCTAGAATGCCATGGTCTGAAATCTTACATGATTCATGAGGGATAATACATTAATAAATAAAGCAAAAATAACATCAGGTACTCTTTATTGCAAAACAGGTTTTTGCTTTGTGTTAGCAACTATCTTCACGATCTTCCAAAAGAAGTATTATTATCCTCATTCAATAGAGGAAGACACTGATGCTAGAGTCCCAGGTACACAGCTAGTAGGCTGGGTTGGCATTCAAACTCATTAGTTTTCTACTGTACCCCCAAAGCACATTCTTTATCTCTAATCCACTGTCTTCTGCTGAAGCTCTATTTGGTCACCTAGCCTGGTATGCTCTCCTTAAGAACTCTTTCTATCCTTCTAGCATAAGATGGAGACCGTGAGCAAGGAGTTACCTTAGGACCACACAGTGCTGCTTCAATCCATTAGGTTTGGAAAACACAGGCTCCCCAATCAGAACTACCCAGTTAAAAGCTATGACGATTAATTTTATGCACCAGCATGACTGGGCTAAGGGATACCCAGATGGCTGGTATAAATATTATTTCTGGGTATGTCTATGAGGGTGTTTCATAAGAGATTAGCATTTGAATCAGTAGACTGAGTAAAGAAGGCCTGCTCTCACCAATGTGGGCGGGCATCTCCTAATCGTTGACTGCCTGAATAAAACAAAAAGGTGGAGGAAGATCACATTCTCCTTCTCTCTTCTTGAACTAAAATATCCACCTTTTCTTGCCCTTGGACATCAGAGCTTTTGGTTTTCAGGCCTTTTGGGTTCTGAGACTTACACCAGCAGCAACTCCCACCCCTACCCCGGCTGTATTTCTCAGGCCTTCAGCCTTGCACTGGGAGTCACCATCAGCTCCCCTGGATCTCTGGCCTTCAGACCCCGACTACATTAAACCACCAGTTTTCCTGCTTCTCCAGTTTGCAGGCGACATACTGTGGGACTTATCAGCCTCTATAATCACGTGAGCCAATTTCCATAATAGATATGCTTTCATATGTCTATATATACCCTCCTGGTTCTGTTTCTCTGGAGAACCCTGAGTGAATACAAGGACACAGGCCCGAAGGCTACATGTCAGGAGTGGCTGGAGGGTTGGATGGGCACAGAGACATCTCTCTGGGTCTTCCCAGTCTCTGCAAGGTCTATGAATACTTGTATGCAAATTCAACAAGAAGCCAGGGGCTTTGGGGAACAAGATTAGGGAAAGAAACTCCAATTTGCAGGAGAACCATCTTTTAGCTATTTCTTCAAGTGCCTCACTCATGATTTCAGATATCATGAAGTCCCCTTCTTGTTTCTAGAAATATCAAATGTGGCATCTAAGGGCCAGGCTTCAGGGATCTAGTTCTGAGGTTGTCAAAGGCAATTTTCTAAGAGTTTAGTATGATTAACAGAAGATGTTTCCATAAAAATCATTAAGGAAAGCGAGAATTTTCAGATACCATTAGACTTTGGGGATAGTGTCAGGAAGCACAAAAATCTCATTTTAGTGGCTCTTGTAGAAAGAATACCCAGGATATTAGATCAAGGCTTGGGCCCCAGATACTACTCCTTTTGGCTCTGTAGACTCACTTCGCAGGATGCAACATGAGGTACTACAGTAGTCAGAGGGATATGGGTTCAAATCCAGACTCCCCAACCAATAGCTACATGAGGTTGTGCTGATTACTTAACCAAGCTCTCTGAACTTCAACTTTTCCATCTGTAAAATGGGATTAGACAAAAGCTTCTTATGTATCACCAGCATCTGGCTCAATGCCTGCCTCATATATGGCATGTAGTCAATAAATATTTGCTCATTAAAAAAAAAATGAGTGAACTTTTGTTTTATAGATGTTTGATGCTTTTTTTTTTTTTTTTTTTTTTTTTTGAGATGGAGTCTTGCTCTGTCACCCAGGCTGGAGTGCAGTGGCGGGATCTCAGCTCACTGCAAGCTCTGCCTTCTGGGTTCACGCCATTCTCCTACCTCAGCCTCCCGGGTAGCTGGGACTACAGGTGCCTGCCACCATGCCCGGCTAATTTTTTTGTAGTTTTAGTAGAAACGGGATTTCACCATGTTAGCCAGGGTGGTCTTGATCTCCTGACCTTGTGATCCACCCGCCTCAGGCTCCCAAAGTGCTGGGATTACAGGCGTGAGCATTTGAAGCATTTTAAACATTCAAGCAGGTCAATAAATGTGAGTATCCTTTCTTTGCTTTGCTAATCAACTTTTGAAACATTTTCTCCTTCCTTTCCTCAACATGAATGAATCTGTTCTTGAGCTATCCTGAGAGCCAAACTTGTATTGTAAAATGAGTTCTGTAGAAGCTACAAAGAACACAGATTCATAGACCCATAGAATTTCATCCATCAGAGAAAGCCCTAGTGTGGAAAGGAGACCCAGAGATCCTCTGTTCTAATCACTTAGTTCCCCAGATAAAGAGACCCGTGGAGAGGAAAATGACTTGCCCGAGATCACATGGCTAGTGAGTGAAAGGATATGTTTATTCCAAGGCAAGCCTATTTTTACTGATAAAATAGCTTCTAACCTACATCCTGTGATCACCAAGTGGACGGTTTCCTACCGAAATAAAAAACCCAGATATTACATCAGGAAGAGAGACTTCCTCAGGGCTATCCCATCCTTTGTACCTTACGTACATAAGGAGGAGTGGAATAGCTGTGCTCTATTCTTGCATCTGCTAAGTATAATATGACTGTCCCAAGTACTGTATTGTAGCATAACAGCATGCTTTAGACCCGAACGCATTTACCCTAGTGGCTGAGCTTGTAAATTGTATGCTACAGGACATGTTTATTATCATAGTTATTTTCTGCGAATACAGTTATTATTCTATTTGTGAAAATTGACATAAGAGGCCTCTAAGCTTCACACCCCTGGGGCATGGCACCCCTTTAAGGTCATGCTTCCTGGCTTGCTTCCCTTATGCTTTACTTACAGCCCATAAGAAGTTTGCTTTTACTAATTGGATTCGATTCGTCCTTTAACATTTTGATTTGAGTAAAACCAACAAGAGCTAGATTTCCCAGTCCATGACCTTTGAGGGCTAACTCTGCAGTTAAAACATATTCAGCCAGACCAGAAAGCAGTCAACCTTTTACATGCTCTGTCTGGTGTAACTCCTGATGTTTTCCAACCCCTACTCCCCAGCACTCCTTGGGGATCCTGGGACTAGAAAACCTAGCCCCGAGGTCCAAGTTTTTATGCTCTCTACTCTCTTGTTTTTACAATTAAGGAGTCCAGAGGAAAACACAGACTTTATAACGGATATGTATAATCTTTCTTTTTCTCCTATATATTTATTTTTAAAACATTTTTAAAGATGTAGGGGGTACCAGTGCAGATTTCTTACATGCATATATTAAGACTGTACCCACGATGTAATTTTTCAGTCCTTACCCCTCTTACCCTCCCACCTTTTGGGGTCTCCAATGTCTATTATTCCACTCTGTGTATCTATGTGTACCCACTGTTTAGCTCCCACGTATAAGTGACAACATGTGGTATATGACTTTCTGTTTCTGAGTTATCTCACTTAGGATAATGGCCTCCAGTTCCATCCATCTTGCCACAAAAGACTTGATTTCATTTTTCTTATGGCTGAATAGTAGATATTTTAGTCTTTCTTTTTAAATTATGCTACTAAGAGGTGAGTATCTTTGCATTGGGTGGTATAGGAAAATAGAGATAAAGGCTAAGAAAATGTACATCCAGAATTAATACATTAATTTGTTGATCACTCATTCACTTATATATTCATTCATCATTGAAAAATTATTTTTAAAGTGTGCATAATATGCAAAGCAGTGGGCTTTATAAGTGAGAGGGTATGGTAGAAATATAAAAAATACATAGTCTGTGCTCTCAATAATCCTATATTCTTGTGCGGAAGACAAGGTATTTTATTTTATTTTTTATTTTACTTTATTTTATTGTGAGACAGTGTCTCACTCTGTTGCCCAGGCTTGGGTGCAGTAGTGCAAACTCAGCTTACTGCAACCTCCGCCTCCCGTGTTCAAGTGATTCTCCTGACTCAGCCTCCCGAGTAGCTGGGATTACAGGTACATGCCACCATGCCCGGCTAATTTTTGTATTTTTAGTAGAGACAGGGTTTCACCATGTTGGCCAGTCTGGTCTCGAACTCCTGACCTCAAGTGACCACCCACCTCGGCTTCCCAAAGCGCTGGGATTACAGGCATGAGCCACCGCAACTGGCCAAGATGGTCATTTCCCCATGTGCTTATAATACAAGGAGTTCCCAAACAAGAGTTACCAGTAAAGCCTTCATGACCTTGCAGCATGACTTGGAATGTGTTAAACAGAGATGGGAGGTGAGGTCCTTCTGGGTGGAGGAACAAGCATATAGAAAGGTTACAGAATTGGGGAGGCCTGAAGATTGGCTAAAAATGTGGTATGAACCTGCCTGGCTGGAATGGAGATCAGGGGTAGAGGATGAGTATGATACAAAATGAGAATGGTCATTTGTAAGGACCTTAACTGCTCTATGAAGAAGTTTGGTTTTCATAAGGGAATGAATGAGAAGCTTATAAGGTTTATCATCGGGAAAGTTATATAAACAAAATAGTCCATAGGAAAAATATTTTGGCATTAGAATATTTAGGGGTGAGAGGACTGTGAAGAATGGAGACACCTTGGGAAGCTACTGCAGGAATCAAACTTTGAGAGGAGAAAGTTTGAACCAAAATGCATGCTGACAGTTTCTCTAGAAATGCAGGGACTGGCTGGGTGAGGTGGCCCATGCCTGCAAACCTAGCGCTTTGGGAGGCCAAGGTAGGCAAATCACTTGAGCTAAGGAGTTTGAGACCAGCCTGGGCAACATGGCAAAACCCTGCCTATACTGAAAATACAAAAATTAGCTGGGCAAGATGGCCCACCTGTAGTCCCAGCTACTCAGGAGGCTGAGGCAGGAGGATCGCTTGAATTTGGGAGGTTGAGGCTGCTGTGAGTTGGGATGGTGCCACTGCACTCCAGCCTGGGTGACAAAGTGAGACCCTGTCTTAAAAAAAAAAAAAAAAAAAAAAGGTAGGGACCACAACTGCAAGCTCCAATGCATCATACAAATCCAACTTTTGATTTTTAATGAACAATTAGGTTCAGATCTTCTCCAACTCCTGTTATGTAGGGACTAAAGCTAGTCAGTAGACAGAAGTGAAGCTATCTGAAATAGAACAAACTTTTACAGATATTTGAAGGTTTTAAATGCTACTTAGAATTGGTCGGAGAATACCTGAGCACCTTGAGGCATCAGTTTCATGCTGAGGAGCCTCTTCAAAGTTCATTACCATCTTTATTCAGCGGTTATTCACATTTGAGGAACGCATTCTGGTTGAGGACTGATTTTTCCTTCCAGCCTCCCCCACCCTGAGTTTGTGAAACTGGAGCCTCCTAACACAGCTGGTTCAAAGGAGGGAAAAATCCTTTCCTGCTTAACATTCTGCAAACGGCATGGGCATATCTCCGAAGTCAATCATCATGAATGAAGCCATTTAAGAGTGGGGCCCGCGACTCCTCTGTGCGGATGAATAAGCAGGCAGAGTGGATCGTATGCAGAGGAGACTGCAGGCAACTCTCTTTCTGCTTTGTCACCCTTTACGACCCGCTTTGCAGTCCCAGCACCCTTCATGGAATGTCTTGCTTTGCAAAAAGAAACAGATAATAACCACACGGAGGAGAAATGCTAGCCCTGCAGCCTGTTATTTAAAAAGTCTGGAGAAAGAGAATGCTAGCCAGACCTTACTTTTGCTCGACATAGCTTGCCCTCTCCACTTTGTGATTACATGCTCGGGGAGGTCGCATGTTCTCCCCATCACAGAACTTGTCAGGAAAAGCAATGGCCAGGAGCTACTGGTGGCTCTTGACCTCTCTGTCTCCATGCCATCATTCCACGTTCATCCCAGGGCAGCTGTGGCGAAACAGTGTCGTTGGTTCTGTAAGTCCTAGCTTCCAAAGGGGAGATTGGCTCCAATCTGTTCTCTAAGACAACGGACATCCTCTGCTGGTACTGGAAGCTGCAGATCCTTCAATCCACAAGGCCAACATAGCAGTGAGTGGCAAATCTGTCCAGATTGAGTGCAGGCAGGAGGCCGCCTTTGGTGAGCCTTAGTTTAGCTCCAAGTGCCAATGCTTGACTGTGCAGAGAAAGTAATACTGAGTGTTGACTTGAGAGATCGGGGTAGAAAAGAGAGTCTTGGTACTCATTTCAGCTCCGTTATTGAGTCAGCAGCACAATGTGTACTCATTCATTCCACATTTGTTGAGCACCTATCACGTGTCAGGAAGCATGCTGACAGCTGAGAACATTGAGAGGAATGAGACTCCTGAGGGACGTGCTAGTAGAGGAGGCATTTGGAAAGCCATTTGATCTCTCTGAGCCTGTTTCCTTTAAAAGCACAGGCACGGACAATATTTCTAAGGCCTCTTTCCACTCTAACAGTCTGCAACAGCAATTCTGTGATTGACCTCTGACTCCCTACTCCCACCAGATAAACACCAGATTAGAGATGTGACTCCCAGCTCACTGTCTCACGTTCAGCCTGTCTGCGTCCTGTATCTCAGAGAGACCAGAGTGTCTGCTTCAGGCATGAGACTCCTAAGTGCCAGCCACTGGTCAGGCATCCTGTGTACCTCTGCCCAGATCGCAGCCGCAGTGGGGATAAAGAAGAACCCTTGAATTTAAACCTTCCTCCAGAGCCCCATTCTGCAAATCGGAAACTCTACAGAACACCCCACTGTAATATCTTGAGGAAGAACTTTTGTTTGCTAGAAATTCTAGAAAAGCAATTCATTTTACAGCTAACCTCTCTTTTTCTTAACCTCCAAGAGTGCTTGGAAGTAGCAGTTAGGTTGTTTCCATTCTGGAATTCACCCAGACAACTCCATTTTGATAAAGCCTCTCCAGTGAGGCTCCCTGAGCTTTTTCCACGAGGGGAGGCAAAGGAATCAGAGTCTGAAGACCAAAGCCAGGTAGTCTTTTTGGAGCTTGTAGGTAAGGTAGGTGTGACTCCACCTTTCTAAGTCAGAATTACAGAATTAAAAGTCTTCAAAGAACTTTAATGATATCAAAGTCATTTTTGGAAGAACCTAACAGTTCCCAGCAAAATCAAGTGAGTTCCAGGAGGGTTTCTTGGGTCTCCTGACTTTCTTACTAATAGAAAACACAGTCTCCTTGGCCAGGGAAAGAGGCTTGTGAATGACTGACTACATGTACCTAATTGGTGGGGTTCTACTCACTCAGATGAAACCTCATCCCTGATCCTATGGGGGAGCCTCTCTAGTCCAGGCTTCTTTTATTAGGTTGGTGCAAAATAATGGCAAAAGCCACAATTACTTTTGCACCAACCTAATACCAACAATGAGGAGTGCCTTGGCCTTAGTACATTGGGTGCTTCCTGAGGTGCTAGTCTGACTCTCTATTTTCTGTCTTCTCTAACACTTTCTGAAGAAATGCTTAAGAATTTTTGTTTAGTTTTTTTTCTTTTTGAAACTAGTTAGGCACCTTTACATCAAGCTTATCATATGGAAATAAGAAATGCCGGTGACATCTCTTGCCAGCTGCTATTTCTTCATGAGAGTCCTCATCTAAAGAAAGGAAGCATTTGGCATGGCCTAGGGTTATTGTTCCTTAAGGGGTCCAGGTTTTACTCTTCCTACAGATATTAGAAATCTTTCATCTTAAAAGCTTTTTCAGGAACTGCTTGAGGAACAGTGCCTGAGTCTATGAAAACTTCAAGCCTCAATCCTAATAACACTTGATATGTTTTTTTTTTTTTTTTCCCAGCATCAATTATTTGTTCAGCCTAAGAGATCTTACCTGGAAATGTCATCAACAATGCCAGGGGAGATGAGCGTGGGTAAGGACTGCTCTCCATAGTTTTAAGAAAGAGAAATAGAGGGCATATTCCTGCCAGAAGAAGGAGAAAGAATTATTTTTTTCTCTCTTAGCAGAAAGAAAGAAAAGTGGCAGTCAATCATAAAACACCTCTTGTGTGCCTTAGCTATAACGGAACTAAGTTCTTTCATATCTTCCATATGTCATTTCATTTAATTCTAAAAGAAAAATGAGGAAGAGGAGGAGAAACAAGGGGGAGGAGGAGGAACCTGAGACTTGAAAGAAACTGGAACTTGCCTGTGAGCCCTTTGACTGGTAAGAGATAAAACTAGAATTTGTACCAAGATTGAAACCCCAAAGCCCTTGCGTTTTCCACCACATTGCATTGACCTGGCCAACAATGTGGGCCCTTCAGTGACTAATCTCATTGCAGCAGACAGTGTCCACTGGGGAGCGAAGGCTTAGATCACGCCACAGGTGGCCTTAGCTTGAATCACTAATCAAGGAGGCAACTTGCTATTGGTAACAGGATGTGTCTTTAGAAGTACCTCTTCAATTTTCTCTGCTTCTTCGTGACCAAGCTGGTGTTTACTGGGCAAATAATCGGAGCAATAAAACTGCCATAAACTGCAGCAGCACAAGCTAATAGAAAAATGTACATTGCAGAGGAAAAAGGCACAGGCAAGAATAATGATACCCCTTTTCTCCTACTTAAGACAGAAAAATTAAGAAGGGGTGAATAACTCCTTAGGACACTGGGGGACCCTCCTAGGAGGAGGTTTTGGCTGCATTTACCTTATATACATGGGCACATAAACACATTCTCATATGTTTGCACTAAGAATGACAAATGAACAGAGGGAACACAGAAAGGAGGAGGCTATGCTCTCCTTATAAAATATTAAAACAATACAGATAAGCCTAGCATTTTCTTTGACCAGCAGACTCCCTCCTTCCCCTTTCCCTTTCTATCCCTAGAGGTAGCCATTGTAAAAGTTTGGAATATATCTTTTCAGGCCTTTTTTTCATGTATCGCACATAAATATGTATTCACAGAAATGTTCACAAGGAGAATAAATTCACGTTACATGGGTAATGAAAAGGTAATTCTAAGCAAGAAAGAGAAAGAGAGAAAGGTAAAGTGGAACTTAAAAGATAAAGCTCAGTTTTGGAATGAAGTTATTGATTCCAAACTTTTGGGGTGTCCAATAGATCAATGTATGTGTCAAAAACAGACTCAGGTACAATCATGATATGAATGGCTTATCTAACCTGACTTTCTTAACAATACAATATCAAAGATGACCAACCTAAAAATAGCCAAACTGACAAATTATGCAAAAATCAAGTAGCACAAAAGAATACTACTATAATCTGGCACTAAAATAAACTCAAAGGGAAGACTTTTTGCAAATTCCAGAGACCTTAGCACTACATTTTCTGAATATCGTGGCTACATAATAGCCACTGATCTAATTTAATGAATTTAGGATTAAAGTTGTTCTTGTATATTATGATTACCATTAAGGCAAAAGAACTAATTAGCAAAGTCAAGAAGGTTGCCATGGAGGTACATCAATCAGCCTGAAAGCAAAATGCAAAAGGAGTGAGAGTAGCAGTATGCTTATATTCTTAAGCTTCTGGTCCCTAAGAGCTTAATTATTTGTATATTCAATGATAGTTCATTCATTTAGCCAGAACCTGTGTCCTAAGCACTATGCTAGGTGCTAGAGACACAACGGCAGCCTGATGGAGTGGGAAGACCATGGAGTTGAGAGAAAGACACTTGGTTTGTGTTCTTGGAACCAACATTTACTAATGGTAAGATTTTAGGCAAATCACTTAACCTCGTAAGCCTTGGTTTTCTCACCAGTGGAATGGTGATAATAATTAACTTTCCATTGAGGGTACCATAAATAAAATTCACAGACCTCCAGGCAGAGAGTAAATGTAGGCAGAAATTATTATTTGAATACAGACCCTATTCTAAAGGCATTCACTGTCTGGTATCAGAGAGAGAAAAATAAAGAATTGCAGAGGGATTCTACTTTTGAATGGGGGAATGAGGAGCCCTGCAGATCTGCTCTCCAGTGAAACAAGCATAACTGGTAAAAATTATTTTTTAGAAACACAATCACTTAAAGTCTTTGGAAATTGTCCCAAGGGAATATAGCAAATGAAAAAAAATTAAGAGAAGCTACTAAAACTCATTAAGGACAGTGAGAATTTGTAACATTGGGACCATGACCTGCTCTCTCTTTTCCCCTCCCGGCTCAATATAATGGAAATTCCATTCCAGGAAGGTTTAGCCAAGAGAGGCTTTCCCCCGGCCCCTAATTCCCTATCTAGTGTCTGGTACCTCCTGGTACCCAGGAGGGACAGGCTATGAGCATTTCTAATTTTCCCCAGCTACACAAGGCAGAGGCTAAACTCCAGGTAAGCATGGCCAAGAAGTTGGGGATCCCTTACTCTATCCAGTTCTCCCTCATAGAGTGGAGTCTCTACCTCAGGCATGTCATGCTGATAATGCTGGGGCTCCAGTTGCCCTCACCACAGCTCATGTGTAGGATGGATGTTCTAAGCTGCAAGAGACATGTTGAGAAGAAGAGAGGCTACTTACCCTGCTCAGCACTCTGACCATAATGTAGGGTGTCACTCTAAGAAAAGTGGGCCACAATCTCTTGCTCCCTGCCTCAGACCTGTGGCTCAGAGATTTTGCCCAGGGAGAGAAGAAGGCCATAAGAATAGAGATCTTCAAAGTTCTCCCCAAAGCAACAGAATTTATTTATATCAGATTGTGAGGGAGTTCAAGCCTAAGAATGCTCTTACAAACAATTATGATTTTTGTGGCAAACAACTGAGAGGAGACTGGCAGTTTCATGACTATCTACAACAAGCTAAACAGTTGGTTAGCTATTTCTCCAGAGAGAACCATGGAAATAGATAGCTAAGAAGAACCTGCTGGAGTGAGAAAAAACCTTCAAAGAGTGGCCTCAAAAATTATGTCTGTAAAGGGACTCACATTTAATTGGATCAGACTGTGGCGCAACATTTACCCCAGAGCTTTGCCAAAAACAATGGAATAATCAGCTGACAATTAGTAAGTGCCTACAGCTGGATGTGATGCCAGCAGAAGCAGTTGGTTTAACAGAGATCAGGGAAATAAACAGTCAAAGAGAAACTTGTTAAAAGCAGTGTCATCCTAGGATGATCACACACACCATGCCCTCTGGAGAATGACATGAAAGGCTTCCCACTGCAGGGAAATAGACTACACTAAAGCCAAATAAGGCCACATTTACAGGTAGGAGGGGGTCAGGAATTCAACATGTCTTTTTGGGAGACAAAATTCAACCCATACATCCACACACAGACTCATGGTAAAAAAGCTGAAAGACAAAGAGAAAATCTTGAAAGCAGCAAGAGAAAAATGACTTATCACTTACAAAGCAACCTCAAAAAGATTAATAGCTGCCTTCTCATCAGAAACAATGGAGGCCAGAAGGCAGTGGGGTGGCATGTTCAAAGTGCTGAAAGAAAAACTCTGTCAATATAAAAAATTCCCAGATCAGCAAAAACTGAGATTTGTTACTGACAGGACACACTAAAGGAATTTCTTCAGGCTGAAAGTAACACCAGACAATAATTAGACACCCCCTACCCACACACACACCAAAGAACATCAAGAAAGGTAACTATGTAATTATAAAAGACTTTTTTAATACATAGTTCTTGTCCTTCTTTCTCTTAATGGATTTAAAAAGCAGTTATAGGCCGGGCACGGTGGCTCACGCCTGTAATCCCAGCACTTTGGGAGGCCGAGGTGGGTAGATCACAAATTCAAGAGATCGAGACCATACTGGCCAACATGGTAAAACCCTATCTCTACTAAAAATACAAAACTTAACTGAGCATAGTGGGGTGCGCCTGTAGTCCCAGCTACTCAGAAGGCTGAGGCAGGAGAATCGCTTAAACCCAGGGAGGCAGAGGTTTCAGTGAGCCAAGATCACGCCACTGCACTCCAGCCTGGCAAAAGAGCAAGACTCCGTCTCAAAAAAAAAAAAAAAAAAAAAAAAAAAGCTGTTACATAAAAAATAGGTATATAATTGTATTGCTGGGCCTAAAATAAATAGAAATGTATTATATATTTGATAATAACCGCACAAAGGATTGGGGGGGGCAGAAAAGGCATACTTGAGTAAGGAAAGCACACCTGATAGTAATTTTAACATACAAAAAAATTTAAGAGAAATGGTAAATACGAAGGTTAGTATCACTACCACTATAAATATATACTTGCTCTTCTTTTTTCCTGCAAGCTTAAAGGACATAAAATTATATAAAGTAGCAATTATAACAATGTATTTGTGGTAAAGTTTATAACATGTATAGTTGTAATATGTATGAGAATAATAGCATTAAAAAGTGGAGGGGAATAGAGCTATATGAGAGCAATGTTTCTGTATCTCACTGGAATTAAGTTAATATAAATCTAAAATCAATTCTAATAAGTTAAGATGTATATGGTAAGCCCTAGAGAAACTACTAAGAAAAAAACTCAATAGAATGTCGAGAAAAAAATCATTAAACAAATTAAAATGTTACTCTAGAAGATATTCACTTAATAAAAAAAGAAAACAGTATGAGATAAAAAGAACAAAAGACATGAGACATATAGAAAAAAATGAGATAAAATGGCAGATAAAAATCCATGCATGTCAATAATAACATTAAACGCAAATGGACTAAACAATCCAATAAAAAGGTAGAGATTGTCAGAATGGGGGAAACAGAAACCCAAAATCTGTCTATATGCTTTCTACAGCAGGTATGAATAAAAAATCTTCTTAAATGCACAGGAAACTTTCTCTGGGATAGACCATACGCTAGGTCACAAAACAAGGCTCAATACATTTAAAAGAATTAAAATCATACAAATTATTTTCTCTGACCATAATAGAATAAAATTAGAAATCAATGCAGAAAGGTATTTGGGAAATTCACAAATAAGTGAAAATTAAACAACACTCTTCTAAATAACCAGTGGGTCAAAGGAGAAATCATAAGAAAACTTAGAGCATACTTTGAGATAAATGAAAACAAAGATGCAACATACCAAAACATATGGTAAGCAGCTAAAACAGTGCTTAAAGAGAAATTTATAGCTGTAAATGTCTACGTTAAAAAAGAAGATAGTTGTCAAGTGAATAACCTCACCACCCACCTTAAGATACCAGAAAAATAAGAGCAAACTAAAACATGCAGAGACTGTAAATAACAAAGAGCAGAAATTAATAAAACAGAGAATAGAAAAAATAGAGAAAATCAATAAAACTTAAATTTGTTCTTTGCAAAAATCAACAAAACTCATAAATCTTCACCTAGGGTGACCAAGAATAAAAGAGAAAATACTTGAATCATTAATATCAGAAATGGAAGAGGGGACATTACTATCAAACTTACAAAAATAAAAAGGATTATAAAGGAATACTGTTTAAAAAAAGCTATGTGCCAATAAAGTAGATGACTTAGATGAAATAGATACATTCCTAGATAGACACAAACTACTGAAACTGACTCAAGAAGAAATAGAAAATCTGAATCAATACATAACAAATAAAAAGATTAAATTAGTAATTAAAGAAATTACCTACAAAGAAAATCTTAGGCCCAGATATCTTCACTACTGAATTATGTCATTTAAAAAATAATACCAATTATTACAAACTCTTTCAAACAATAGAAGAAGAGGAAACACTTCCCAACGCATTCTACGATGTCAGTATTATTTTGATACCAGAACCAGACAAAGTTATTACAGGAAAAGAAATCTACAGATCAATATGTCTCTTATAGATATAAACACACATATCCTCAACAAAATACTAGCAAACTCAATCAAGCAACGTATAAAAAGACTTGTACTCCATGACCAATTAGGCTTTATTACAAGATTGACTTAATATGCAAAAATCAATGGATGTAATAAACCACATCAGTAGAGTAGAAAACAAAACCACAGCATCATCTCAACAGACGCAGAAAGAAGATTCAACAAACTTGAACACCGTATCATGACAGAACAGTCAACAAGCAAGTAATAGTAAGAAATGTTCCTAAGCTAATAAAGGGCATCTACAAAAAATCCCACAGCTAACTTTATACTTTAATTATTAAAGACTGAATGCTTTCCTTTAAGATCAGGAATAAGACAAGAATATCAGCTCATGCCACTTCTATTGAACATTATACTGGAGATTCTAGCCAGGGAAATTAGGCAAAAATATAAATAAATAAAAAGCAACCAGACTGAAAAGAAAGAAGGATAACTATCTCTATTTGCAAATGACATAACCTTGTGTATAGAAAATTCTAAGAAATCACTAAAAAATATTAGAACTAATAAGTTCAGCAAGGTTGCAGTATACCAAAAATCAATTATATTTCTATAAAGTGGCAATGTACAATTCAAAAATGATATTACAAATTCTTTTTAGAATAGTAGCATAAAGAATAAAATGGAAATAAATTTTACAAAAGAAGTACAAAACTTACACTCTGAAAAACTACAAAACATTGTTGAAGGAAATCAAATAAGATTTAAATAAATGAAAAAACATCCCAGACATGGAGCAGAAGACTTAATATTGTTAGGATGATGATAATCCCTAAATAGATCAATAGATTAAATATAATCCCTATCAGAATCCCAGGTAACTTTTTGGTATAAATTGACAAACTGATCCTAAAATTCATATAAAATTTTCGAGGGACCCCAAATAGCCAAAAGAGTTTTTAATAAGAAGAACCAAGTAGGAGATTTTCTGATTTCAAAACTTACTGCAGTGTAATTGCATCTACAACAATGTTATGCTGGCATAATGATAGACACACAGATCCATGAAATAGAATTGAAATAAACCCTCAAATTTGTGGTTGAGTCTTGAGAGGGTACCAAGACAATTCCATGGGGGAAAGAATAGTCTATAAAAAAATTTTTCAGGGAAATGGCATATCCAATGCAAAATGAAGTTGAACCCCTACCTCATATAAGATATAAAACTTAAAGTTGTCAAAGACTTCAATATAAAGGCTAAAACTATAAAACTCTTAGAAGGAAATATAGGAGTGAATCTTTATGACCTCAAATTTGGCAATGGATTCTTAGATATAACACAAAAAAGCATAAGCAGCAATAAAAAAATAGAAAAATTAGAATTTATCAAAATTTTAAACCTTGTTGCTTCAAAGCATACCATCAGGAAACTGAAAAGATAATTCACAGATGGGGAGAAAATATTTGCAAGTCATATATCTGATGAGACTTGTATCTAGAATACATAAAGAATTCTTATAACTCAATAATAAAAAGACAACCAACTAAAAATATACAAAGGATGCTGTAAACCAATGATAGGGAAACTTTTTCTGTAAAAGGCCACATAGTCAATGTTTTAGGCTTGAGGGCCATACAGTCTTTAACACAACTACTCAGCTTTGCCATGGTAGCATAAAAACAACCATAGAAAATACGTAACAGATAAGCATGGCTGTGTTCCAACAAAATTTTATTTATAAAACCAGGTGGCTGGCCTGAGAGTCAGTTTGCCCACTCATGCCCTAGAGCAACTCTTAAAAAACAGAACAATGACATACAGCTAGTAAGTCAATTCTGGAGATAAAATGGAATCTATGGGCATACCCAGACTGTGATAGGTACTTATTGCCTGGTATAAAGAGAGCAATTAATGAATACTGTTTAATGAATGAACAAAGAAATGAATGGGGCAGGCAGAGGCCAAATACTGTGTATGCTTTCCTATGTACTCACTTTGATTTGAACAAATTTCCTAACACCCTGTGTTTTTGGACACCTTGATCGGGAACTTCAGAAGGCAAACAGCCGAGCAAGAGCAAGCCTGGTACAGTATGTCAGCATTCCAGATTGACTGCAGCTGGGCTGAAATGCAAGGTGAGGACAAAGAGGCTGCACTAGAAGGCAAGGCGAGGCTTTTTTTTTTTTTTTCTTCTGTATCTCAGGGATAAGAGTAAGAGTTCTTAGAAACATAATCACTTCCACCAAAGACAGACCTGGAGATGCCAGACACAAGAGAATCAGTATAAGCTAAGAGCTACAAAGGACAACAGTAAGCTACCTGAAAGTAAAGGAAAATTGATTTAGGTGATTCAATCAAATGATTTCTGATATAAGACACAAAGGGACCTAGGAGGTTTGAAAATCTAACCAAATGATAAATATGGGAAGATAACGTGCTCTCAGGTTGTATCTCCCAAGAGTCATTAATGTTAATGTGTATTTAAGGCTGTGTCTACAAGACAGAGGACCACAGTGTGCAAGACAGAACATTCAGGCTAATGGGTTAAGGAGGAGATGGGAATCAATCCTCTTGACTCCTGTAGCCAACTGATTCGAATTTTAGCTAAAATTAAGTCCCAAATAAAAATCCCTGAAGTGATTTATTTTTTTCCATTTATAATGACTTATTCTAGGCACATGGAGACTGACAAATCAAGGAGGTCAAACCTTTCTTTTTGCCCAGGCTTCTATGCAAACCGCCTGCTTGTCCCTTGACTCAGCAGAGGTCAGGATATGAAATATGTATACCATTGCCACTGCAAGCAAGAACTGCAACAGGGACTGTGTAAGTGTTCATGTAGGTCTGTCTATAACCTCAGATTTGTATGATAACTAGGTCATGGTGATGGTGCTGGCAGATATGGGGTTCCACAAAGCTCCTGCAGTCATTGTGATGGAAGCTGAATCAATCTGTGAACTATGAAAGCTTCTCCCAAAAGGTTCC
Source organism: Homo sapiens (assembly GCF_000001405.40). NCBI lineage: Eukaryota > Metazoa > Chordata > Mammalia > Primates > Hominidae > Homo > Homo sapiens. Next base: position 29,431,808 of record NC_000002.12, read on the forward strand.
ACAAAACAAATAGGATTGAGGGCCTACTAGGTAATAGGCACTTTGGGGACCCAGATACAAGTCAGATGTGTACTCTATCTTTAGGAGCTCCCAGGACAGTAGAGGAGAGAATATCCTGTCCCGTCCCGTCCCGTCCAGTCCCGTCCCATCCCATCCCATCCCATCCCAGTATTTCAGCTGACCCTTGAAGGATAGGGCTTGAGGGAGTGTATCCTAGCACAGAAGAAACTTTGAGGAGAATGCCCCTGCCCTGCTACCACCTCAACCCCTGAAGCCTAGGTTACAGGTAGGCCTCTCTCTGATAACTATTTCTTGGATATCAGAAAAGAATATACTTTGGATGTTTTGTCCCCTCCAAATGCCATGTTGAAATGTGGCCTCCAATGTTGGAGGTGGTCGTAGTGGAAGGTGTTTGGGTCATGAGGGTGGATCCCTCATGAATGGTTTTGTGCTGTCCTTGTGATAACAATTGAGTTCTCACTTTATTAGTTCCCATGAGATCTGGTTATTTAAAAGAGCCTGGCACCATCTTCCCATTGCTCTCTCCCTTGCCATGTGATACGCAGGCTCCCCCGCCCCTTCTGCTATGACTGTAAGCTTCCTGAGGCCTCATCAGAAGCCGAACAGATGCTGGTTCCATGTTCGTACAGCCTGCAGACCCTTGAGCCAAATAAAGCCCTTTTCTTTATAAATTACCGTCTTAGGTATCACTTATAGCAATGCAAATGGACAATCAACCTCAGATTTGTATGATAACGAGGTCATTTATTTAATGATTAAACTTGGTCAGTCTCCACATTGTCCCTGACTCATGCTATGGCACTAATTGTGGTACAAACTGGCCATGTTCCTATAATTCCATTTTCTCCCCTTGACAACTTGACCCTAAGCAATGGATAACCCAATGGTAAACTAGATGTAGCCTTTTCCTTTTTTTTTTTTTTTTTAAACCGATGGATCCATTGCGCATCAATTGATCTGGAGTGATTCATCTAAACATTTGTCTAAACATGTGCTTCACCCCCTGTCTTCACTGCTCAGTGAAGTGGGGGTGAGTAAGCACTAGATAATACATTCAGAAACCTTAGTTCTAACTCCAGCTCTCATACTTACTAGCTATGAGCTATTGATCATTTCCCTGCTCTGGGTTTCCTTATCTGTATGAGCAGGAAATAGATAGTCAATAAGATCCTTCCCAGCTGTACCATCTATGATTTCACACAATTAACAAAAAAGTCCTCTTTATAGGACCCTTAGAGATAATCCCTATTTATTTCCAAAGTGACCAGGCAAAGTTTAACAATAACTAGGGGCTGTTATGACACTATTGAACCCATAGTAGGGACTTCAGGATGCCCCCTGTGAATACTCTTTGATCAGCCAAGTGATTGTTTCTCAGGCCCTTTTGGTCTGCAGCAGTGCTTCTCAAACTTTAGCATGCATAGAAGTGGACAGGAGAATTTTGTTAAAATGCAGATTCTGATTCATTAGTGTAGGGTGGGGCTGGAGAGTCTGTATTTCTAACAAGCTCCCAGACAAGACGGATGTTGACCACACTTTAGGTGGCAAGTTTCTAGAGGGTTTTGAGGAGGAAACATGAGGCCATTAGGAGGCTTGATACTATATCTGAGAGAATACCAAATTGTTCCCCCCAAGTGCTTACCTCGAGGCCTTGCTGAAGTGCCTAATAAGTGTTTGCTCACTGATTGATAAACTTTGCTCTTTTGCTAAAGGCTGGAAGAAAATGTATCTCTTTCCTCTTTAATCACTGAGGGCAATATAGCCCAAATAGCATCCCCTGCTAGACTTTGCCATTGCAGCATGAAAATATGTAACAGGTAAGCATGGCTGTGTTCCAATAAAATTTACAAAACCAGGTGGCTGGCCTGGGAGTCATAGTTTGTCAACTTAAAAAAAAAAAAATGAAATGATGAGGTACAGCTAATAAGTCAATTCTGGAAGGAAAATGGAATCTATGGGTATGGGTATACCCAGACTATAATAGGAACTTATTTCCTGGCATAAAAAGGCAATTAATGGATACTGTTTAATGAATGAACAAATAAATGAACAAAAGAAATATCACATCCATCCTGTCTGCAATTAAGACTTTCTGGATCTCTTAGGCCCGGCTTAATGGAATATCTACAAGATATTTTAAAACTCAGAGTTTTTTTGCACCAATCTCTCAAGAGTTGGAACCAGTCAATGTGCTTTGTAAAGTACTGAAAAGGCAAAGCATGGAGAAGGGGATGCTTGCTTGTGCCTGGAGTTTTATACAGGATGCTTTCCATATCATTTCACCACTTGCACCTGTACCAGAATATTTACGGTATTATCCTTGGTTGGAAAGGGAATGCATAAAATTTTTAACTGAATATTTTAAGAAACTAACTCCTAATCTCAATCTTATATATCTATATGATACACTCCAAGTGGGCATATTGTCCTTTGGATGGAAGAGCATAATGACCTAATGCAAATGAGACGGAGGCTAGGGTAGTATGTTGAGGATAGTTCATTCCTTTTCTGAAAGATGAGAAAGTAGAATTAGTCCCGGGGCCCACTCCCACGCCTGCTTTGTCTCCTGGGAATATCAAATTCATATTGATTGTTCTCTGATGCATAATTTGCATGGCTAAAATGGAAACACGTTCATCAATTTAAGCCCTGGCTTGCCATAATGTGTTCCTTTTTGAATACAGTGTACATTACTTGGAAGCAACACTAGTTGCATCATAAATATTTCAGCTGCCAGTGTTTGGGACTTGTTTCTTTGACCTGGCTGTAAGTCAGTCAATAAGTAATAACAATGGTTTGGTCTTTAGAGTTTGAGGAGTACTGACAATCTACATGATTAAAATTCATAAGATAAGTTTTTATCAAAATAACACTTCACCAACAAAGGAAAGGCATTGATCAGCCCCCAACATGTATAATAACCACTTTCAATGGAGGCTCGCCTTTCAATTCTAATGGACATTGCTGAGCTCAGGGTTGAATGATGAGGCCATTGTGCCTTTTTCCATTAGGTCCATGGGGAATCCATTTGCAAGAGAACAGTCAATTTTGGATCACAGATCATTAGAACTGGAAGGAATAATAGAAATCTTCTAGCTCAAAGCTGTCATTTCATAGATAAGGAAACTGAAATTCAGAGAATTGAACTGATTTGCCCAAGGTTACACAATTATTTAAAGCACTCAGATCTCCTGGTTGTTAGGTCAGGGCTGTTCATGAATGCAGCTGACCCATATCAAGCAAAGCCCTTGGGACCTCTCAGTTTAGCAGTCCATTACCCCTCCTACCAGTGTATTTTTGGGTCTTTACCCAAAACGCGGTGGAAATGAGCTAACCAAACGAAGGAAGCAAAGAGTCTCTACTACTTGTCATTCATTCATTAAACAAAACAGACATTGAGCCTACTATGTGGCAAGTATTTAAATAATTAAATTCCCCAGGAACCATGAACCCTCCTACTGGAACTTCAAAACTCATCTCTCAACAGTCTCCTAGGAGTCTTCAGCACCATCCAGGTTGTTCTCTGCTGAGTCTACCTCAAGAGTAATGCCTATATGCCTCTGTCAGAGGCAGCCCTGCCAGATGCCACCAACAAGAGGATAAAACTGAGCACTTCGTAAGATTAAAAAAAAAGTTTGAACATGCAGGTGCAATGCCAGGTGCTTTCATATCCACGTTCTCATCTAGTTTTGGCAGCAACACAGTCAAATATTACCCCCTCTCCCAATCTTTTTCCTGAAAACATAAAAATACAGAAGTTTGGGAAAATTTTATGAAGTCAATTCAAGGTCACGGTGGTTTAAAAAAAAAAAAAGCTAGAGCTAAGATTTGAATACAGGTATGTTTAACACCAAAAGCAACACAAGCTTCTCCCTTATGCCAATATGACTGAGGAACTGTGACAAGAGCAGCCAGCTAGACAGACCTGGGTAACTCTGACCCTTAAAGAAGTAACAGTGGAGTCCATTTGGTCACCTTACCTCCCACTTGTTAACTACGTAATTTTCCACCTTTGTCTTAAGGATTTTTATTTTTCTGTATAAGACATGGCTTTCATAATGCTAAGATTTGGTTTGAGTATAACTTTGGTCGAAAAAATGATAGGAAGAAGCAAAGAAGGCACTGTAAGCACATCTGGAGAACTTTTCCTGGAAATGAAAGAAAAAGGCAAGATACAAATATTATAAAACCATTGGGAAGACTGGAACTCCTTAGAAATTCCAGTATCAAGCAAATGATACTGGAATTTAAGTATCATTCCAGTATCATTTTAAGATTTGGGTCTTTACCCAAAACACAGTGGAAATGAGCTAACCAATAAAGGAAACAAAGAGTCTCTACTACTTGGCATTCATTCATTAAATAAAATAGATATTGAGCCTACCGTGTGCCATGTATTCAAATACTTCAATTCCCCAGGAACCTTACTGATAAAATTCTTACTGATAAATGTCAGCTGATATTGCCACATGCTCCTGTCTGAGAAAGGCACGGTGCACTGGCAGAGGGGAGGCAAGAACCCTTGAGAGCGGGAACCCCCTGCTTCCTAATCACTTCCCAGTTCTCTCTGCCTATTCCCCAGGGGACTGGTTTTATAACGTCATCATCTTTAAGCCAATACCTTTGCATCAAATTATTACCTCCAAACTCTTCTCCTACATCATTTTCATTAGCCCCTTTAAATTAATCTGATTCAACTGAAGCTATTAACAGAGAGACAGCAGGTATCAAGAGTTCATCTTCTACTGGGTATCATGAGGCCTTTGAGAAAAGCCCCTTTCAACAGAGGCCAGTTTTTTTGCTATCATATTGATGTTCGCTCATCAGCTGATAACTCTCTCTTAGCCCATCAAGTTTGGCTTTTAATGGCCCAATCGTATCTGTGACCACAATTCAATTTCCACTCTGCACTTGTGGTTCCTTGATACCTCGGAATTCTTTAAACCTGCTTGATTAGCCACCAGAGATAAATGGCTTAGTCATTTTAAAGTTTTATGGAACATCTGTGCACTGTGATCACAGACCAGCCAGAGGAGAAAATGGCTCTGGAATCCTTCCCCTCAAACCACTTAGGGAGCACAGGCCCGAAGATCTGTATGACATGGAACTCAGCAGGAGTGACAGAGGTAGTGAGGGGTGCCAAAAGAGGTCAAATCTACAACCAGTCCCAGGATTTGATTCAAGTGGTGCCCTTTAAGGGAATCAAATGGTGTTGGTGTTTTCTCGGCCAACCATGTGATGCTGCCTTCTAATGGTGGCCTCTTAGAAGCGGAAATCACTCGATCCATTTTAGTTCTTCCAGAGCTCTTGGGGAGTCTTGGAGGACATGTGAACACTCTACAGCCTCCCAACTTCTTTCCCCCTTTATGTTTCTCCTTCCTTCCTCATTTTTCTCCCTCCCTTCTTTCTTCTGTCTCTTAGATATGCTGAGTACATCTATTTTTGAACCCCCACGTGGGCCCATGTTTCTCCAGAGAATCTGTTGGTTTGAACATACGTAATGTGAGAAATAAAAGAGCAGCTTCTGACATTCAGAAGCTGGCCTGACTCACAGGTAGGCCATGTGATTCTCCCATTAGACACAGAATGCAGAATACCAAGTTCAGACAAGGCTTGTCTGAGATCTTGATAAAATGAGACAAAGCGAGGCCACTTCTAAGTACAGACAAAGATAAGATCACTGTGTTACCTCCAAAATGCCAAACATCTTCTCTTGACCAAAATGAGTTACTCCTGCTTCTTTACCAAATACAGCTTTATCCTCATTCTAGTCTTTCTTCTCAATGGAGGTTTATTGAGATAAACAATTATAGAATTGCTGCTACCTAATGACACCATCCAATTCAGAGCAAAGTCCTGCTTCCCTAAGCCCCACCTCAAATTACCCAACAAAGCCCAAATTCCATAATAGGTTCTTTCTAACACCCTCTTACTGAGACACTCTACATGTTTATTCTTCATGCTACAATTAGTAATCAACCAAACTTGTTTAACTATAGATTATCTTTGGTGGTCTCTGGCTGAAGGGCATAGACAAGCGGCAAAACTAACTCAGATTCAAACAGTCATTTATATTTTGAAAAGCTTTTATACCCATTATTTTATTCAATCTTCATAACACCACCAATGAGGAAGACCTGCAGGTATTATTATATTAATACTCATTTTCCAGATTAGGAATTTGCTGCAAATGGTTGAAGGCTATTCTCCCAGATTCCACCTGACCTTCAGAGGGCTGCCTTTAGGAATATGTAGGCGGAGCTAAGAAGTTCCACTAGTGTCTGCCATCCATTTCTGATCAAAGAACACGAAGCAAATACCTTAGACTGACATTATTTTATTCAATCTTCATAACACCACCAATGAGGAAGACCTGCAGGTATTATCATATTAATACTCATTTTCCAGATTAGGAAACTGAGGCTCAGTGTAGTTAGATGTAAGTTCAAAGTTCAAACATCTTATAAGTATTAGAGTTTGAACCAGGTCATCTTGTTCCATATACAGTGTTTTGTTCACATGAGCTGGTCATAGAAGAAAAATGTCCCATAGCTATTTGTTATTTAGTGCTGCACTAATTGGAGATTGCAGGTGAGAAGGGAATAAGACTGGTAGCAGGCACCATGACATAGGAAAAACCTGGAATATCTTTCAGAAGCATCAATTTTAATCAAATTATTTTGAGAAGACAAGTTTAATATTTTTTTAAAGCATGAGATTCAAACATTTTAAAATTCAAACAAAACTCAAAGAAATGTTCAAATAGAAAGCAAAGAAATTTGCAGTAATTTGCTGCCAATGGTTGAAGGCTACTCTCCCAGATCCCACCTGACCTTCAGAGGGCTGCCTTCAGGAATATGTAGGTGGAGCTAAGAAGTTCCACTAGTGTCTGCCATCCATTTCTGATCAAAGAACATGAAGCAAATACCTTAGACTGACATTCTGGCTGTCTTGCTGGGGTGCTGAGAGCAAACCTGTCCTCAGGGCCATGAGGGTCAATGGAGTAGGTTACAATATCCCCCAGCGCTCCTACTGATTTGGGGAGGAGAGCACTGTGGGCTTGTTCTATTATAGATGCCAGTTCTTCCCTAGGGCTCCAGGGGCCACCCATCTTTCTGGAGCTTGGCTATCTCCAGACCAGCCCTGCCTGTGGGACTCCAAGCCAGAATCTGACTCCTCTGTAGCCCAGATATTGTTGCTGAGAGAACTGGTGTTGGCTCCAGGTCATTTCAAAATTCAACATTTACCTCGAGGACATCTGCAAGTCCTGAGAGTACACAGGTCCTTAGGAACTTGAAATCTGACCACCTATCAAGCTTAGAAAAGGCACAGTCTCTTCTCACATCTGGAATTCATCTGGACTCCAGGGTTTCTAGTACTGAAACAACATGTAGCTGCTTTAAATAGAACAGGTGACAATTGTCAAGGACTGCCTGAGCTGACAAATTATGTATTCTCATATTATTTTAAAATGTAAAGCACAAACGTGGGTATAAACTCCTTATGCTTATAGCTCTTACTTGACTATTAAAACCAAACAAAAATAATTCAATAATTAATAAAAAATAAATATAAATGTATAAAACCATACTGTTTAAATTAACACATCAATTCAATGCGATGGAAGGTGCTATTTGCTGAAACAATATCGCTGCTCACAGGACAGACAGATAGAGAATAGACGGCTCCTACTCAGGTTCTATAATGGATTATATTATGTCCTCCAAAAAGATGTGTTGAAATCCTAACTCCTGGCACCTGTGAATGTGACCACATATAGGGTCTCTGCAGATGTAATCAAATTAAGGTGAGGTCATTAGGGTGGGCCCTGATCCAACGGGACTGGTGTTCTTGTTAAAAAAAAAAAAAAAAAAAAGGATGGGAGATACGTGCAGAGAGAAGGCCATGTCAGGCCAGAAGCAGAAGTGGGAGGGATGTGGCTGCAAGGAATGCCAAAGACTGACGGCCACCACCAGAAGCTAGGAAGTGGTAAGGATTCTACCCAGAGTCTCAGAGAGAACATGGCCTGGCTGACACCTTGATTTTGAATGTCTAGCCTCCAGAACTTTGAGTGAATAAGCCATCCATTCTAGCAATCATGGAAAACTAATACACATCTTTGGCCGGGCATGGTGGCTCACGCCTGTAATCCCAGCACTTTGGGAGGCCAAGGCAGGAGGATCACCTGAGATCAGGAGTTCGAGACCAGCCTGGCCAACATGGTGAAACCCCGTCTCTACTAAAGAAAAAAAAAAATTAGCCGGACGTACTGGTGAGTGTCTGTAATCCCAGCTATTCGGGAGGCTGAGGCAGGAGAATCACTTGAACCTGGGAGGTGGAGGTTGCAGTGAGCCGAGATCGTGCCATTGCACTCCAGCCTGGGTGACAGATCAAGACTCCATCTCAAAAACAAAAACAAAAAAAACCACTAATACACATCTTTTCAGATGATTGATATGCCCATGTTACGTAGGTTACGTGATGAATCAATTTTTTTTTTTTTTTTTTGAGACGGAGTCTCTGTTGCCAAGTAGCTGGAGTGCAGTGGTGCGATCTCCGCTCACTATAATCTCTGCCTCCTGGGTTCAAGCAATTCTCCTGCCTCAGCCTCCTGAGTAGCTGGGATTACAGGCATCTGCCACCACACCCAGCTAATTTTTGTATTTTTAGTAGAGACAGGGTTTCACCATGTTGGCCAGGCTGGTCTCAAACACCCAACCTCAGGTGATCCGCCTGCCTTGGCCTCCCAAAGTGCTGGGATTACAGGCATAAGCCACAGTGCCTGGCTGATGAATCAATTCTTCTAAGAGTTTTTGGTATGCAACTGCTGCAAACCCTTCTCTTGTCAGGGTCCCCTGCAATCATTTGACCTTCAAGGGCATGAACCCTTGACAAGTCTACCTTGCTTCTGTCTTTAAGTCTGATAACTATTAAAGCACCACTCTTTGATGCCAAAGTGATCCAGAACACAAGCGCAAAGGTAGAGGCAAAAATGACTTTCTTTTAGATTATCATCAATATGAGATCATTTAAATTATCATAGAGAACTCACAGATCCTTGTGTATGGACTCTGATTTGAGGGGCAAGAACATCAGATTTTGTCCATTTCTCGCTCCCTCTTGCCTTTCCTGACTCCTGTGTGCCTCCAGGCTCTGGCTGGCCAAGTCTCCGGCTTCAATAGCCAACTTGGACTTGGACTTCCCATCACACTCAACCCAGTTTGTCCCTGCAGGCCGGGTCTGGCCATCAGGCTCCAGCATTGCTCACCTGAACACTGTAAGAGGTAGTGCTGGCACGCCCTGCTCAGGGGCAGAACCTACTCTAGATCTGTCTATGTCAACTTCAGAGCCAACAAGAATACAGCACATCTGCTTGGGCCCCTGTGAAGAGCATAGAGCAGGGGTCTCCCTGTGTACCTCACAAAGGAACTCAAAGGCAGAGTGCCATTAAAACCATTTGGCAATCAATCACTTTAGGTGCCTCTGGGGGAATCACAGAGTGGGCATTAGCCTGCTAGGGCTCGGTGTCACTGTAAGGGATGGTGTCTCCCTTAGCAGGGCAGGGCCCGCCCTGGCTGGGGGACATGTAGGAATGGGGCAGGCATGCAGGGGCCATGAAGGCCTGACTGGCAGGTTGTGGGTGCCTGGGTACCAGGGAAGCTCTTGATCAGTGCTCATCTGGGATCCCTGAGTCTGGGGAAGCTGAAGAGGTGATGGAGCACTTGTAGGGCTTGGAGAAATGGCTATTTTTCAATTGATCTGGAAATATGTCAATGTTTTAATAACCAGCATGATTGTAGCTGTGTATACCACCTTAACATCTGCCCTGGGGTAACAACCATAAAAGGGCCAATTACCTGCTTCCAAGAAGTGCTTTGGAAGGGGCTGGACATTTCTCAAGACTTTGATTTGGGCATTACAGTTGCATTGAGACTAAGGAGCAACAATGTCTTTCCAAATTGGCAGGAACAGGACTATCCACTGTTCCTCTGCAGCCCAGGAATGTTCCTCTGCAGCCCAGGAATGCCCCTCTGCTGCATTCATCTGGCCCATTGTGAGAAGAGTAAAAAGTTATGATCATAGGAAAGAAAACAACTTTCAGTTATGTTGTCTTGTAGAGGCACAAATCATTTCCAAACAAGCTAAATTAACACTAATTGAGAAGCAGATGTCCAAATCCTTCTCTAGAGCTCGCTGGTTTCATCATTAAAATCTTCACAGGAAGCAGGCTCATAGGTGCACCGAAGTGCACCCAAGACCACTAATGACAAACCCATATCCTGCCTACCCTCTGGTCTCCGGCAGCCATTCTCTTCCACTCCATTATAATCCTCGTGATAATGACACTTGACCGGTAAAAAGAGCATCTGTTGGGAGAATGCACTGAATCCAAAAACCTTATGGTACTAGGAGATTTGGGGTGTTAATTACACAAATTGCCCATCAACTCTATTGTTACTTTCTTTCCTCTGATAAATTAAAAAAAAAAAAATGTTGAGACTTCTGAGCATGAATGCGGTTGGGCCAGAAGTTTGCCTATAAACATGGATGGGAATCCTTGCTCCTTCACAATATCCATAACCACAGAGCTCTGGACAGTAGGCTTTGAGGCAGTGTGGGATGGAGGGAAGTGCACTGTCTGAGAGTATTGGTAAGTGAGACTGGGTTTGATTCCAGCTCTGCCACAATGACCTGGCGATCTTCAATATTCTCCCTTGAGTCTTGGGTACTCTCCCTTAGCCTTTCTGAGCCTCTGCTTTTTCACTGGTAAAAATGGGGATGTAGTACACGTTTTCCAGGCCTGGTTGGTGTCAGGATGCATAAAATAATGAGAGTAAAAGCACACCTAGATCCTAAGCATGTGGGAAGGGTACGCACCTAAAAACCTTATGCTTAACAGTGAAATGAACTTTCGACTGGGCACTAGGAGATCTGGGATTTTAGTCCTGATTTCTTTGTTGTGAGAACTTGGACAAGCCCCTTAAGTTTCTGGGTTTCAATTTTTTAATTTGTAAAAACATAGTGTTAGACAAATGATTCTCAATGTCCCTTCCAGGTCGAAGATCTCTGATTCTAACTTGAAACCTGAAAGGGACAAAGCGTGACTCTACCACTGGGTAAGGTTAATTGCCACATGGTGGCTACAGTGTGATGAAGTTGCAGGGGGTCTGGGAGCACGTCCTGTGTGTCCTGCTCAAAGGATGACTGTGGAACAGAGAATGAAGGCATCAGCCTTGGGTGACACTAGACATTTGAGGGCGTCCTTTCCCATCCCTGTGGCATTTTTAACTAAACTTTCGCTTCTTGCACTTCTCCTCTTTCTCCTTGTTTGCCTCTGTAGTGTCACAGGTTACTTAAGGGTCTATGCCTGCTGCCTGAACCCTGAAGACCAGGCTGTGAGCCAAGGCCATGGTGCCTGCCAGGGAGCAGGTGTCCCTGAGAATGCAAACCTCCCAGAGAGTATCTGAGAACCAATGAGGAAAACAGTTCCATTGCATACATACAGTAGGCAAAGAGCCAGAAAATTAGCTTAAAAGCAGCTTAGAGATGGGAGGCGGGCTGGATCTTTAGAGCTGTTCTGCTGCCGCCCAGGAGTGCCCCGTATGTAAGGCCAAATAAACTCATCTACTTGCCACCGAGTCTTTCTTTGGTCTTTTGGCTCCCTTCCAGTTTGGGGGAAGGGTTTGTTTGTTTAATACAATTCTGGGTTTTTCTCCTTACAGCCTCTGCCCTCCTTTGCCCGCTGGCTTTGCTTCTTGCTCCCAATTTCTCACCCCTTAGGGTGCAGGCCTCCTGGGAGACTGACTGAGGCCCTCAGGATGGTTGGAAAGGGGCTAGTCTCCTGAAATTAACCCACCACTGGCTCACTCACCCTTTCACAGGTTGTGGGCATAAACTGAGAATAACTGGAGCTCAGGGCCCATTTAGTAGTGGTGAAAGCAATTGATGGTGAATCAGGAAGGAAGAGGAGGCTGACGTGTAGCCTTATAAATACAGGAAGTCCTTATGCCCCAGGCACTCTGAGAGGCTTGAGCTCACTGATAGTCATGCTAATAATAACTTCAAACGTACCTAGGATGTTTCTTCTGAAGGGCATTCTGCGTTCTCCAGGTTGTAATTTTATTTCTTTTCCTACTGTTTCTACCAGATTGCTCTTGTTACGCCCAATTTGCAAAAGGAGAAACTGAGTCACAGAAAGTCATATGAATTGGCATTGGTTCTACTGTTTTCTCAAATGTTCACATAAAATAAACTACAGTAGAGAGCAACGTGATTGCCATTGGAATGTTTATTTAGTCTGCCAGAACAGTCCTACGTGGGGAGGCTTTTGGGGGTAGGACAGAGAGTGAATCGGGAGCTCCATTTATGAACTCTCCCCTCTTCTCTTTTATTGCTTGGCTTGAGGTGGTTGAGGGTTATGGGCAGGAACATGAAGGAAACTGAAGAATGTGGAATGATACTGGCTGGTGCAAGATGCAGGGCAGGCAGGTGGCCAAGTCTGGGCAAACCAAAGGTCACACTGATGTAAAGGACCTGCCCCGTGGGTGCTCACTGGGCATCATGAAATGTTGGGAGCTAGGTCAGCCCAAGGCTGCCTGATTTGGAAGCTCTTTTGCAAATGAACAGATGAGGATTGAACAAAGGAGGAGTGGGTGCCCAGGAGACAACAGAGGACTGGGCAAGAACTCCCAGGGCTGCGTTATGACTTTTGGGGGCCCTGGGTGCTTTTGCCATTATGGGATCCTTTATACAAAAAAAATTAAAAATTCTGTTTTACAATTGCATCAGTAATTGAGATAAATATATTAATAGCATATATTAATGCATACAAAGTATATTAATGTCATATATTTAAACCATTTTATTAAACTCAAAAGTTCATTTTTTTCTTCTGATTTTTCAAGAAATTAAAAAGTTTCCTTGGGCTCCTAAAAGTACTGTGGCCCTAGGCACTGTGCATTCCTCTTTCTCATGAATAAGTCGGCCCTGGAAGTCTCCTCTGCATCCTAGGGCTGCTGGTTATAGTAGCTGACTCCTTGGTCCTGCCCATGCCTGTCCACATACAGGCTTACCCAAATTTACAGGATTAGTCTTAGAGCATCAGTTTGGGCATCTAGGGGTTACAGGTGCGTGACTGAAGACACTCAATATCAGAGAGGCCAAGGCCAAGTTATCAAAGATAAAGGAGCCAGGATTTGAACTCAGCTCTGACTGCTTCCAAAGCCCATTTGGATTTGACTCCTACTTCCCATTGTGTGTCTCCCCTGAGCCTCTGCTGAAAAGGTCCTGGGTCCTTGGTCCAAAATCTGGCCTGACCTGCACTTGAACCCTTTCTATATAGCTTAGCAAATATGGAAATTAATAATTAGGCAGAGGTGGGCCAGTGATAGATCACAGGGAGAAAAGTCTAAAAATAAATTTCACACAATGCAATGAAAAAGGTCCCATGGAGATGCACGGAGAAGAAAAGAAATCATCCCCAGAGGATTAATGTTCTAGTAAACTATAAGCTGCTTATATTTTCACCCCATTACCATAACTTTCAAATAACTGTCTCAAACTATAAAAAGACAATTACTTAGGGCCAGATGCATCACAGGCTGGGTAACGCTCTTCCAGAGCCAATAGGGGGTTCCCTCACATCGCTTCCCAGTGGCAGTGTGGTGTCTGAAGAGGAGATGCTGGATTAATAGTAAATAAGGGCTGGGCATGGTGGCTCATGCTTATAATCCCAGCACTTCGGGAGGCCGAGGGGGGTGGATCACCTGAGGACCTGAGATCAGGAGTTTGAGACCAGCCTGAACAACATGGTGAAACTCTGTCTCTACTAAAAATACAAAAAATTAGCCGGGTGTGGTGGCAGATGCCTGTAGTCCCAGTTACTTGGGAGGCTGAGGCAGTAGAATCACTTGAAACGGGGAGGTGGAAGTGGCAGTGAGCAGACACTGCACCATTGCACTCCAGCGTGGGCAACAAGAGTGAAGCGCTGGCCGGGCGCGGTGGCTCACGCCTGTAATCCCAGCACTTTGGGAGGCCGAGGCGGGCGGATCACGAGGTCAGGAGATCGAGACCATCCCGGCTAAAACGGTGAAACCCCGTCTCTACTAAAAATACAAAAAATTAGCCGGGCGTAGTGGCGGGCGCCTGTAGTCCCAGCTACTTGGGAGGCTGAGGCAGGAGAATGGCGTGAACCCGGGAGGCGGAGCTTGCAGTGAGCCGAGATCCCGCCACTGCACTCCAGCCTGGGCGACAGAGCGAGACTCCGTCTCAAAAAAAAAAAAAAAAAAAAAAAAAAAAGTGAAGCGCTGTCTCAAAAAAACAAACAAAATAAAACAAAACAAACAACAAAAAAAATGAAGAAAACACAACAACCAGCAAATAGGGACATTTTACCTCTTCTCAAGGCAACTCTGGATCAATTCTCAGAGCAACAAGGCTCTGAGGTCCATGAGGCCTGGATTTGGAATTGTCTTAGGTTTGCATGTTGGCAGGACTATTTACCAGGCTATAACTAGGCAATCCACTTGACCCCTCCGATCCCCTTGTAGAAAAGTTCTTAACAATCCTAGCCCTACCAAGTACACAGGTTTTTGTGAGACTTAAATAAGAGATATAACTGGGATTTGTCAACTACTAGCACTATCCAGACACTTGAAACTTGACCCTGCCCCCAAAGAGTTCCCTGTTCTCAGACTTTACTGTGTCTATTGACCCCTGGATACACTAAATCTGGGTTGTCGGAGCTTCTTAAAAACTGATTCTTGGCTCTTCCGCCACCACTGCCAAGATCTCCAAGCTGAGCTGCTATACAATGGCAGTAGATTACACTAATTTGTTTTATTTTATTTGACATACTTGGAATTAAGGCTTTTTGAAAGCACTATGCAAATGTATGTAAATGACCACATTTCATGAAAAATAGTGTGCAAATAGTGTCCCTGTGTTGGCTTAGAAAAATCTGGTGGCCAAAGGCTGTCTGTATCTTCACAAGAATCAGGAAGAAGAGTTTAAACTTTAGTTACCCTTCCAGCTGTTTTATAAAATGCAGATGCTGGGGAAGCTAGAGTTTAGTGTGTGGTTTATGAGCTGTGTGCTTAATATTCTTTTCCAGTCTTCATCAGGGTATTTGATATCATTTAAGCAGAGTGTTTCATTCATTAATCACTTAAAACTGATGGTGCCAGGCACTTACTCACTGGAAGAGGAGTAAGGAACCAACCCTCCCCTAAGGACCTCCTTGGCAATGTGGCCACCAGAGTCAGCTGTAAACGCAGCTGGGGCCTCGTCTCCTGGCAAACACGTGGGTGGAGGTGGATGCCATTTTGAATTAAGTCCAGATACCTGATGGAGGCACTCAAGACCCTCCACAATCTACCCCCAGCTGACCTTCCAGCCAGAGTCTCCTCCCCTACCCGTCTCCATTATTCATTAGCACTGCCCATCATGATTTCTTGCAGAAATCTCTCTGGCAGGTACAGCAGCACCTGGGCAGGGAGAGTTGAGACTAAACCATCACAGTATCTGGGTAAGACGCGGACAGAGAGTCCACGCAGAACAGGCCTACTGGCATGTGGTGCTTTTGTCAGATGGGGAAATTATTTTGAGCAGCACAGCAAGGAGTGGCTTTAGGAGGGAAAAAAAAAATCTCGTGTTTATTATAACTCAGTCCAAGATGATTGCCCCAATGTGCAAAATAGAATAAAATTGGTCCTGGACTTCTGAGCACGCATAAAAGATAAGAACATGGAGTCAGGCCCCATCCTTCTCTCCACAGTCAGCTTCTATTAGGAGATGACATGATTCAATAGCACCTTTCATAGAAAGAGAGTGGCTGGGGGAGAGGTGGAGGGGTTTCACTTTGAGCTCAGATGGCCGCTTCACACCTCAGGTTCAATGGCACAGGCCCTCCAGGTAGCTCCTGGCTTTGTTTCCTAACCAGAAACCCACGCACACATCTTGTCTTTGGGATGGGGTGGGGTCCTTACTACTCTCAACTTTTCCCAATCTCTTTGCTGCTCAAATATGTGTGAGTTTTTCGGCAAAATTTATTGCTTAATGGGGGTGGGGTGGGGAGAAAGGGATGTTGCCTTTGTTGCAGTTTCACAATTGGTGTAGTGAAAGGGTGAACAAAAACTGATAAGGAGTCAAAACTATCTTTTTAAATGACAAAGGACAGTAACATTCTTGGTTTTTTGCATTATTGTTTTCTTCATAAATTTAAGGCCAGATGCAGCAATTTATGGTCTATTATTCTTTCCTGTGGCGCTTGCTAAAATATTTCAAAGCTATACCATACTGACTTTTTTTCCTTTTGTATTTCACTGCTAACGGACACAGTTCGAATCAAATCTCTAACAAAGAGAGAAGTCTCAGAGCCTGCTTGTGTGCTGAAACTGCTGGAAACCTTTTTGATTTTCCAGGGAGCCACAGATGGTGCAGGAGTTTCTGCAGCCCACAGACTTAATATACGCAGTAATTTAGGAGGGAGGCTGGCTTCGTTTGGCCAGTAATGTGAGTTCATTTGCAATTCTCTTCTCTTCTTAATAGACTTGAACCTGAGTGTTGAAATTCAGAAAAGGGGGTGTGTGCCTCATGGGCGTGTTAAACCAGAGGGTGTGTGCTCTCTCTCTACACTCTGGGGAAGGGAAGCCTGGCCATGCAACATTTTTTACAGCTGCATTTGCACAGGTTGGGAAATAACAGTGTCATCCTGGAACAGCAGACACTGATATATGTGTTTGGGGACATCTATAGAGCACAGTGAATCATGCAACATACGAGTCAGCCCCACTATAAGTCAATCCACCGTTCCCACCAAAAGCTCCATGGGTAAACGGAGAGGCTGCCTTCAGATTACTTTGGAAGATGAAAAATATCCCCATATATATTCAGACCAATAAAGCAGCCATGCAGGTGAATAAAAACAAATCCTGAAAGTACAGAGTCTCAAGGTTGGAAGAAACCTTAAAAGTGTCCAGACCGGTCACCCCTCCAAATGTCTGCACCTGAATCCTCTTAGAAAATCTTTATTTATTCTCCTTCAGTTTCTGGTTTAAACCCTGTCCATGAAGGGGATCTCGCTGCTTCCCCCAAGGCAGCTGACTCATCTCAACCTCTCAGTGACTGGGCTGCTAAAACAAAAACAAAACCCCTCTACTTTACATTATTAAAATCATGACATCCACTGCTTGATTCTCATTTCATCCAGTATTGCACAAAGGCCATAAACAATCTTTCTTTGCATGACAATCTTCCAATAGCTGCAGGTAGCTGTCTTGCCATGCCATATCATATGATTTATTTATTTGTTCATTCATTAGGTGAACATATATTAAGCAGCTACTAAGTGCCAGAAACCAGAGACTAGGGATATAAGATGGATAAGATATGGAATGTGCTCTCACAATATAGTATGGTACCGGACACAAGTCAACTAATCTGAATTTTCTATGGTGAGTGAAAGCCTAAACAATGTCCTCTGGGGGTCTACAGGAAAGCACGTTCATTGCCTAGTGGGTGGGTAAGTGAGTGGAAGCAGAGAAGGCTTCCCAAGGTGGTGGCGTTGATCTTGGACATTGAGGGCTGCATATTTCCTAACTTTTCTTCAAACTGCTTGGCAAATTCATCACTAGGAGACTTGCATGTTGGTGTCTGCCCAGCTGCTGTGTTGGGGCCTCCATTAATGTGGGCTCTGACAGTCACAACAGTTTGGTGCATTTCCATTCACAGTTCAGATCCATCTTACTTCACCTGGGCATGCAACTTGGAACAGGAAAGCCCCTGGGAGGGGCCAGGGCCCCCAAGGGTCTGTCTGTAGAAGCTGAGGGCTTACGGATGTTTGTTCTGTCCCCCATCGCCTCCCTACAGGAACTGTCTGTGCAGAGGAGGCTCTTATCTCAGAACCCCCATCTGTTCTGTAGAGGCATGGATTGCCAAAGGAAATGTTGAGGCTCAAGCATTTTGTCTGAAATGTGACATAATTGGAGAAAGGGGCTGTGTTAAATTGTAAAAGCTCTTTACTTGTGTGAAATTGGAGGAAAGGTCTGCAATTATCACTGTCTGGACTCCCCAGTTACCTGTGAATTGGGAACATAGGTCTTGAAGATGGGCTAATGGAATGGCTGCTTGTTTGTGCTGATCATGTGTGGGCACATGGCATTGGAGGAATAGGAAGACAAAGTGTCAAAGTTGGAAGTGGATAATAGCAAGCAAAACACAAAGGGCAAAGGGGAAAATGCTGTCCCCTTCCTGCTCCCTCCTTGACAGTAGGGCTCCTGTGACCGCAGGGAAAGAACATCAGTATCACCAAACCTTCCTTCACCTACCTTTACCTACCTTCTCTGAGCCCATGCAGCGAACAATAGAAACACATGGGACGCCAGGTTCTGAGACCGAGGTTCAAAACCGCTCAGATGTTCATGTATGCTTCTGAGGATTCCACATAAACACTCTGAGACTTGCTCATCTTGTCTGTCAAGTGGCTTTGGTAATGATGCCAATTCAGAGGGTTTTTAGAACATTTGCGGTCCCAATTGGGCCAGCCCTCTAATTGTACCAGGGCTAACTAGGACAATTCCAGGGCACAGGGCTGAGCCCTGTAGGGTTCAGAGAAGTGACTGCAACAAGGTCTTTGCCCTCAGAGTTTTTGGTTGTGTGGGGCAGACAGGGCAAAGAAAAACAAACGCCAATATAAGGGATACATAGACAGAGGGTAGATAGATTAAGCTCTGGAAATCAGCACTTGGGGAAAAAGAAAAAATGAAGGGTAATTCTTTAAGCCTATTTTAAGTGGATAAAATAAAAAATTATAAATGGAAAAAATATGTTACAGTTCTCTTAAGTCTACTGATTCATGGAGGTGAGAGAAAAAGGCATAATGAGAGAGGAACAATTTTCATGTTTGCAGGACTATGGCCTATAAATAATGAGAAGAGGAACCTGTTAGCTTGAGGTTAGAAAGCTGAAAAGGAAAAGAGGTTGGGCATTGTTTCTCAGGCGCCTTTCCTCAGATCACTGACTACCCTAATCATAGTGCATTCCTGTTAAAAAACAGATTCCTAGGCCCCATCCCTGACATATGAAGTGAGAGTCCGTGGGGGCGGGGCTCAGGACTCCACATTTTAATAAGCTGCTCGAGGTGACTTTTATGAGCCCTAAAGTTTACAAAACCCTGATTTGTGTAAATAAACACACACAAAGAGTGCCTGTTTTTCAACGAGCTTAATTACATCCTGTGGGTCTGATGTTTGCTTGCTATAAAGAGTAAGTGGTGTGTTTTCTAATCTCAGGTTTATTTCTGAATGTTATATTTCAAGCAGCCTGTCTTCTTGTGCTTGAGAATGCTTTCAGGTTTCAGAAAAATAGATGCTGGAAGAGGAATGACCTCACACCTGCTCTACTGCAAATAGATTTCCCACCCTTTCTCTGCAGTCCATCTCCCCAGCCATCATCCACTTCATATGCTGCACACTGACCAATCTTTCTTAAGCACAACTTCAATAATGTTACTCCTTTGGTAAGAGCCATCCACAGCTCCCCCACTGCCTCTGGGATAAAGATAAAACTCTTTAGCTTGGCTCCAAGGCCCTTCACACTCTATCGCCCTCCTTCCTGCTAAAATCTCCCTTTCACATTCTCCTACACACACACAACCAAACTGCAGCCAACCTACACTACTTGCTATCCTCATCTTGTACTTGCTGTCTTCGAAAACCTCAGCTCATATCAAACTTCCATTGGACATAACTTCCTCCTCTCAACCCAAAAGAATCTTACCTAGACATTTAACCCCTGCTTCTCCAGGAAGCCTCTTTTGATCTCCTGTCAGTGCCGCATCCAAATCCGACAGCAATTTTTCTGTGCCATGCCCGTGATTCTTAATATGAGCTGTCTGGTACTATGTTTATTTGCATATTTGTCTCCTAAACTTGAAGTTCCTGGAGAATAAGGGCCATAACTCATTCAACTTTGCGTATCCCCTAGAAACTAACATAATAAATGACCTCCAGAAAACACACGCAGCCACGCTGTCCAGTGGACGTTATTGCCATGATGAATTTGTTCTATAGCTGTGTTGTCGAATAGGGCAGCCGCTAGCCTCAGAGTGACTAGTGGACCCTCAAAGTGTGGCTACTGTGACTGAGGAACCGAACTTTAAAATGTTTATTTGATTTCAATCAATAACAATTTAAATATAAGTAGCTGACATGGCTAGTGACTACCCTATTGGACAGCACAGTTGAGAATATATTTAACGAAGGAGGTTGCACTGTGCTTCGAAAACGTCCCCACTCTCTACCCCACTTACAGACGTCACTTGATTTGGTTCTTCCTACTTCCTCCTCCTTGTCTTCTACACTTGGCCCCTTACTCCCTGCACTCCAGCCATGCCTGGCTGATTTCCTTTTCTCCAACAGGCCTGGCTTGTTCTGGCTTCAAGGCTTTTGCTGTTGTATGCTTTGCCTAGAGTGTGTTTCTCTTAGATCTCACTCAAGTTTTTTTTGTTTTTTTTTTTTTTTTTTTCTTCATTCAGGACTCAGCTTAAATGTCCCGTCTTTAGAGAGGACTTCCTTGATGTGCCCTCTAAAGTAGACCTCTTTGCTCTCACTTCACCCTCTTACACTTTCTTTATAACGCTTTCATTAAAGTCATCTCATTTATTTCGTTACTTCTTCATTGTCTAACTCCTAATAAAAGGTAAGCTTCTTGAGTAAGGAAGTGCTCAAAAACAATGCATAATAAAATCAATGGAGGAAAGCATGATGAGAAACAGGATATTTATATAGTCTCAAAGTATCTCCCCATAAGATACTAATTAATTATAATGGAGAAAACAGAAACTTTAGTACAGAAGAGAAAACCATCAGTTGCCACCTCTCCACACGTTAACTTCAAGTGTAACCGACGACTAACATCACCAGTTACAAGACATTTTGACATGAGATGCCCACTTGATATGATGCACTGAGAAGGATCCATCACTTCTGGGGTCTCCTCTCCATAATGTAGAACCTCAGTCTACTCAGAAGAAAAGGTTAGACACATGCAAATTGAGTGACGTTGTACCAAATACCTGGCGATTCTATTCAGAAGTGTCAAGGTCATGAAAGATGCATTCAGATTGAAGAACTGTCATACATGGGAGGAAAATAAGCAGATACGATAATTAAATGCAATGCAGGAAACGGGATTGGCTCCTGAACTGGAAAAATGAGTAGGAAAACTGGCAACAATCTAATAAGATCTGTAGGATAGCTAAGAGAATTGTATCAATGTTGATTTTCTGTTTTCAGTAATTATGTTTTAGTTAGATAAGATGTTGGCATAAGGTGAAGTTAGGTGATGGGTTTATAGAAACTCTGTACTGTTTTTGCAACTCTTATTTAAATATCAAACTATCTCAAAACAATTCTTTTTTTCTGAGACAGAGTCTCAGTCTGTTGCCCAGGGTAGAGTGCAATGGCATGAGCATAGCTCACTGCAGCCTCAATCTCCCAGGCTCAAGCCATCCTCCCACCTCACCTTTTGAGTAGCTGGGACTACAAGTGTGCACCAACATGCCTGGCAATTTTTTTTTTTAATTTTTTGGTAGAGACGAGTTCTCACTATGTTGCTCAGGCTGGTCTTGAACTCCTAAACTCAAGCAGTCCTCCTGCCTTGGTCTCCTAAAGTGCTGGAATTTTAGGCATGAGCCACCGGACCTGGCCTAAAATAAAAAGTTTCTTTTTTTTGAAAAAAATACAAGTTTCTTGAGGGCAAGGGCTTATCTGCCTTGTGCTAGAACAGTACCTGCTACATAGTAGATATTAAATATTTATTTGTGAATGACAGGAAGACTGAGAATGAAGAAGGAAAGATGGAATAGGAGAAAAGAGGAGCTGATAAAGGAAAAGAGAAAGAAAAAGAGGAAGGGAAGACGATATGGAGCAAGTGTGAGGAGAAGGACTGCACAGTTTTGGGAAAATTTGAGGTATCCCTTGAAGAAGATGTGAAACAGAACAGGCCTGTTAAGGACCTCAGAGAAAAGGCTCACTCACAGCATCCAGCATACCCCAGGGACACACAAAAGCATGGAGATCTCACATTCTAGATGTTTGATTGAGTTCAATTTAATTCAAGTAGTTAATAACTTGGATTAAATGCAATAGTTGGATTAACACACGCAGTGCTCCCCCAAAAGAGTTCTCCAGCTTTTGGTGGGCAGGTTAATAACTTTGGCTACCGGATGGAACTGTCACAGTCTAAGGCCTGGGTCCTGAGGGCTTGCATATGTGAGTCTCTACAGACTGCTAGAAATTGGAGCAAGACTAATTCAGTAAAATAGGGCCCATTCTTGGATGACCTATAGAATTGAATTTATTTTCAACTGTGGGATATAGAAAATCATACACATCCCTCAGTATTTCTGGGGGATTGGTTCCAGGACCCCCCTGTGGATACCAAAATTCAAGAATGCTCAAGTCTTTTATATGAAGTAGTATAATATTTGCATATAACCTACACATATCTTTCCATATACTTTAAATCATCTCCAGATTACTTACAATACCTAATACAATGTAAGTGCTAGGTAAACAGCTGTGATGCTATATTTTAATTTGTATTATTTTCTATGTTGTATTGTTACTTTTTATTTTTTTCCTAGTAGTTTTGATCCTCAGTTGGTTGAATCCACAAATGCAGAACCCACAGACACGAAGATCTGATTGTATATGCTGTGCTGTCTTCCAAATCTAAGGAGACAAGAAGGGCTCAAAATTTGGGGTGTCTTTCCAGTAGAAAGAATGAAATTGCATTGATGAATATTATTTTAATTCTATATATCAATTGCTAATCATATGCCTATATAATAGGCACAAACCAAAACAAAAAACCAAAAACCTTAATTTTGAGATAGTTTTATATTTAAATAAAAGTTGCAAAAATAGTACAGAGAGTTCCTATAAACCCATCACCTAGTACATAAGTGCCTATATACTGGGCACATAATTGGCAATTGATACATATAGTTAAAATTATATACTATTAAAGTTATATACTATTAAAATTAAAGTTCTATACTCCCTTAGTTGTTCAAATAAAAGTCCTATGCGGTTAGTTTCATGTACCTGCTTCACAGATGAGGAAGCGGGCTCAGAGAAGAAAATCACTGGCCCTAATTTACACAATAGGGCCATGAAGCCAGAAACTCAAATCTAGCTCTCTCTCATTCCGAGCTCTTGAAAAGGGTCCTAGACGTCATCTAATCCAGCTCTTCACTTCTTCGCCCCATCTTTCATGTCTATTTCATAATAGACATTTGCAGAAGAGAGAGACGAGACTTTAAGAGGAAAGGGTCCTGGTCCTGGTCTCTTTCACAAGGTGTGGCAGCAGGAGGTGGCGGGAACAGTGTGAAGAGAGCCCAGAGGGACTGTCAGCAGACTGGAGTCCTGCCTTTGTCTCATATTATTTCAGTGGAATCAATGAAGGCATTTGCCTTTTCTGAGCCTTAGCTGTGTCATCTGTCAGATGACGAAGACATGAAAACCCTCTCCTACCCTGGGAGAGCAGCAAGGTGGGGCCTGTGGTCTGATCAGCTTGGAGACTTCTGCTGTCCTGTGTGCGGGGGACAGAAATGGATGTTGTTTAACTGGCTGAAACGCTGTGCCATGCTAATTACATCAACCTCACAATCCTCTCTTTTTTCCCTCCGTCTTCTTTTCACTGCTTCTATTTCTGTCTCTTTTTCTCTCTTTCACTGTCAGTTTTCAAATAAGGACTGTTTTGTTAGCTCCACAATCAAAATGATCTAATTGGCTGCAGAAGGGAACAAGCACAATATCCCCAGGGGGAACCTTCCTCCGGATGCAAGAAAGAAAAGGTCAAAAACCACTTGACTGACTAAGAGAAGTAAGAGAAATGGGAATTCAAAAGCTTCTATTTATAACTGCACAGACTGAAGTTCTGGGCTGTGCCCTTGACTGGGCAATTATGTTGCAGAGACTGCCTTTCCATCTTTGGGTGGCTCTTGAAAAAGAGAACTGACACAACCAGGCTCTTCTCTTACACAGACTCTCTACTCTGTGGTTTTCCCGAGGTCCCTGCACTCCTAGCATTGTGGGGGTGCAAGGAACACAGCCATAAGTTTGAGGCCAAAGAGCTCTAGATTAAAACTGAGCCTGGTGGGAATACCACTTTATATCCATTAGGATGCCTATTATCAATAAACAACAACAACAATGTCCAGAAAATAATGAGAGTAGTGAGTGGGTAAGGTGGAGGAGAAATTGGAACCCTCGTGCATTGCTGCTGGGAATGTAAAATGGTGCAGGGGCTGTGGAAAACAGTTTGGTGGTTCCTCAAAAAGTTAAACATAGAATTGTCGTATGCTCCAGCAATTCTACTCCTGGGCATATACTGGAGAGAATTGAAAGCAGGGAGTCAAATAGATATTTGTACACCCACGTTCATGGCAGCCAAAGTAGCCAAAAAGTAGAAACAACCTGTGTCCATTGACAGATGAATGATTACACAAAATGTGGCACGCACACACACAATGTAATATTATTCAGCCTTAAAGAGGAAAAAAAATTTGACACACACTCCGAGATGGATAAACCTTTAAGACATGAGAAGTGAAATAAGCCAGTCACAAAAAGACAAATATTGTATGATACCACTTACATGAGGTATGTAGAGTAGTCAAATTCATAGAGATAGAAAGTAGAATGCTGGTTGCCAGGGGCTAGAGGGAGAATGAGGACTTATTGCTCAACTGGTACAGAATTACAGTTTTCAAGATGAAAAACATTCTGGAGTTGGATGGCAGTAATGATTGCACAATAATATGAATATACTTAATGTCCCTGAACTGTACCCTTAAAATGGTTAAATGGTAAATTTTATGTTATATGTATTTTACCATAATAAAAAATGGGAATATTACCACCTAGATTGTGGGGTTATTTTTGAGGATTAAATTAGATGTCACATGTGAAATATCTAGAATAATGCTCCATCTCCTAATAGTTGCTCAACGTGTACTGGTTTCTTTCTTTACAGAGAATATACAATTTATACAGAGTGTGCCCTTGCCTTCTCAGTTAGGGGAGAATAACTGAAAAGTGGCCACGCACATAAAGACAAAATAGAACGACATTTCTACTGCAAGATGACCACACTCAAAGAAGAAAGAAAGTAATCACAAGCCAGTCTGGAGACCCTGCTTTCTCCATTGTATGCCTTAAAAACAAACAGCTTCTTGCAGCACACTGAAAGCAGAAAGGCACCGTGGTAACTTTCTCTTGAGTTTAAAACAGAAGGGGAGATGTACCTCTCTGGGTCTGAAAAGTGAAGGGAGTATCCTTCCTTACCTACTTAGTCCACTAGGCCAGCTAACACTTCAGCATTGGCTCGATTGAAATGTAGGAGCTGGAATCTTACCCACCTGGCTGAATGGTGTTTCTGGGTGGTGAGTCACTGCATCTGCCCATCTATGCTCAGGTGAACTTCAGAAATAAGGTGAAGAAGTAAACCGGAAGGGATGAGCCTCGGTTAGGAGTAGGGAGGGCTTCAGCTGCTGCTGGGAAATGGGCTTTCAGGGGATAATTCCAAACAGTACTTCTCTAAGGCTTCTTCCAGATCATTTGCAGTGCATCTATGGCCTCTGTGTATGGACAGGTTTCCATCTGCAGGTCTCAGGGGAACTCTTCCTGCAGGAGCCCAGGTGAGGCCCTGAACCCTATTGTACACTTGTCTAGGTCTGGGCGTGACTCTTTGTCTTCTTACATTGCTCCTTCTCAGATGGTGCCTTCAAACAACACTATGAATCAGGGAGCTTGGGTTCAGATCACGTTTTCAAACCTGTCACATCTACATATAGAGATAAATAAAACCAATAACAGTGGTTTATCAAGAGTCTACTATTTGTCAGACTGTACTGGGTGTTTTACATACATTATTTCATTCACTTCCCACAATAATCCTTTGATGTCGGTATTATGATTTCCTTCTCATGGATGAGGAAACTGATGTTTAGAGAGGTTAGGTGCCTTGTACAAGGTACTAAAACAAAAAAATCCTTCACACATACTTTTCTCCTGTCCAGCCACAGTCTTTCAGCATCTTGAAAGTACTATCATCAATACTTTAGGAAGTCAGGAAGGTCTCAGATGCTACTCTCACCAATAGCCTTTGTGAAAGCTTACCGGTGTGCTTAGCTTATAGGAAAAAAAGACTCTAAGAATGACAAATGGAGACATGTAATCTACTTTTTAAACCTATAATCGTGTTTAACATGTGACTCCCACAGTGTTTTACAATGTGTATACATATACATACATGCACACATACATGTACACACACATAGCTATGTAAACTTAAACGTATATGCTTGGGTATACATTTGTTTACATTTGACAATCATTTCAGGTACAGTTATGTAACTTGGGACACACAGCCTGGAATAATCATCCATAACTTGATTAATTTGCTTCAAAATCAACCAGGAAAACATCTGCTCAGTCACACCCGGGGACTTAGCTTCAGAGACGCTATGTTGTAATATTACATAGAACTTTGAAGCATTCCATTAAGCGTTTATAGTAATTTATCATCTGCACTTTCCAATGCTCTGGGCTAAGGAGATGTCGCTAATCATTACACCTTGATTGGGCTGTCTTTCATTTGAGGGACTCCATGCCCTTTATAGATACTGCATCAATCTTGCAAATGCCTTCAACACAATCTTGAGGCTTAACATTTCTTATTGACCTACAGAATGCATTGGGAATTTCCTATTGTTCCCTGTGGATCAAATTAGGAGTTTCAATGATGTCTATCACAAGCAGACCTGGGTGATAGTGGCTTCATTTCACAGACAGTGACTGAACAACTGAACCATAGCTGAAGCCTCCATTAAGATTGAATTCTCCTGGTGCTGGAGAAAATTGTCAGTAAGAATAAAAGTTGCTGCCATGATTGAGTGCTTACACTGTGGAGGGGCTGTGCTAAACAGAAGGTACAGCTACCAGTCAGCAACCTGCCCTTTTGTTTGGTGTTCCCCTTTCTGATACTCCCAAATGCCCATTGTAGGTGCACATCTACCCAAGAACACCTGCTTTTGCCTCACTGAGTGGTTCCCAGTCATACAGGACCACACTTTTCCATTTTAATAGGCTTATAGGTCACTTGGGAAATGTTTCAAAATATAAGTTCCTGGGACTCACCTAGAGGTCCACCTTCAGTAGGACTGAATTTATATTTTAAATTAACAATCCTTCTGATGCCATCTAACATATGCCTTAAAAACAAACAGCTTCTTGCAGCACACTGAAACTTGCAGACTTTGATAACTGCTGACTTAGGACATTCAAGGTCATTCTTATTCTCCATTGAAATTTTCCCCTTTGTTCACTCCTTAATTTACCGAGAGGTTAACATAATGAATGATCTCATTTCATTGGTGCTTTTATAGGTTGAAAGTCACTTTCTCCAACATCCACATTTGAAGCACATGGCAGCCATCTAAACTTCAGGCAGGAATAGGGACAGACATGGCGGACACCAATGGACACTCCTCTGCTGCTCCCTCTCTTCTGTCAGCAGGACGCTGATGTTTTCAGAGGTTGGGCTGGAGATTCCTTAAAACTTGGGAACATAAGTCCCTATCTAATCCTCAGGCGGAAATCTTTGATTGTTGCAAACTCGTTATTTTTGGCAACTGATTGGCTAAGGATGGGCATGTTCTAGCTAATGATTTTTTTTTTTTAAGTGTGCTGAGGGAGAATTTTTCTTCCTGAATTAAAAACAAACAACTTCCAGAGGTAGAGGACTTTGCTTCTTCTTTCTTCCTGGAACTTATAAATGAATAGCCATCTTGTGACACTGAAGTAACAAGCATACAAATAAAAGCCAAAATGCTAAGTATGATGGGACAGAAAGATAAAAACAGCTGAGGTCCCCAACAATATCACTGAATGTCTAAAAAACATTTAGTAACTGCATACCTCTGAACTTATTTTTAAGTAAGAAAAGCGAATCTCTGTTTAGATCACCATAAACTGAATTTTATGTTACTTTCAGCTAAAAGCATTCCTGACTGATATAGAAGTATTATAATGATTAAAATCCATGTTTTGTAAAAAGCAGCCTCAGAAAGGTTATGTGACTCACTCCAAATCTCTAAGCAAGTACACAGTGGATCCTCAGCTGGAACTCAGCTTGACTCATTGCAAATCTTGACCCATCCACCCTGGAGCCTTGCTCCACAGTGAAGAGGTTTTAGTGACTACCTTGCAGTAGGAGTGGAACGAACACAGCAAGATGTGGGGGCTGAGCTCCTGATCTCACTTCAGCCAGAAGAATTCTTGTTAATATATTTTCTAAATTGGGCTTCCATGTAAAATACAATTTAAAGAAAGAGTTTTGATGCATGAAAAAATCGTTTGAAATACAATAGCATTATGCCATGCTGCTTTCTTCTTAAATGTAAGGCATTGTAGATACAAAGAATGCAATACTTGATCATTGTTCTAAGCACATTTGTTACCCAGCGGAGGACATAAGTCATATACACATGCAGGCACGCCTTGTTTTATTGCACTTCACAGACATTACATTTTTTACAAACTGAAGATTTGTGGCAGCCCTGCATAGAGTAAGTCTATTGGCACCATATTTTCCAGCAGTGTGTGCTCACTTGTCTCTGTGTCACATTTTGATACTTCTTACAATATTTCAAATTTTTTCATTATTATTATATCTGTTCCAGTGATCTGGGATCAGTGATCTTTGATGTTAGTATTGTAATTGGTTTGGGATGCCAAAAACCACGCCAAAATAAAACAGTGAATTTAATCAATAAATGTTGTCTGACTGCTCCACCGACATGCCATTCTCCATTTTTCTCCCTATCTTCAGGCCTTTCTATTCCTTGAGACACATCATATTTAAATGAGGCCAATTACTAGCCCTACAATGGCCTCTAAGTGTTCAAGTGAAAGGAAGCGTCATATGTCTTTAACTTTAAATCAAAAGTTGGAAATGATTAAGCTTGGTAAGGAAGGCATGTTGAAAGCTGAGACAGACCAAAAGCTAGGCCTCTTGCACCAAATAGCCAAGTTGTGAATGCAAAGGAAAAGTTCTTGGAGGACTTTTAATAAAAAGTGTTACTCAAGGGAGCACACAAATGATAAGAAAAGTGAAACAGACTTATTGCTGCTGTGCAGAAAAGTTTCGGTGTTCTGAATAGGAGATCAAATCAGCCAAAATATTCTCTTCAGCCAAAGCCTAACCAAGAACAAGGCTCTAACTCTCTTCAGTTCCAGGAAGGCTGAGAGAGGCGAGGAAGCTGCAGAAGAAAAGTTTGAAGCTAGCAGAGGTTGGTTTATGAGGTTTAAGGCAACAAGCCATGTCCATAACATAAAAGTACAAAGTGAAGCAGCAAGTGCTGATGGAGAAGCTGCAGCAAGTTATCTAGAGATCTAGGTAAGATCACTGATGAAAGTGGCTACACTACACAACAGATTTTCAATATAGATTAAAACTTCCTTCTATTGAAAGATGCCATCTAGGACTTTCATAGCTAGAGAAGTCAATACCTGGCTTCAAAACTTAAAAGGACAGTCTGACTCTTTTGTTAAGGGCAAATGCAGCTGGTGACTTGTAAGTTACAAACAATATTCATTTACCATTCTGAAAATTGTGGGGCCCTTAAGAATTATGCTAAATCTACTCTGCCTGTGCCCTATAAATGTAACAACGAAGTCTGGATCACAATACATGGTTTACTAAATATTTTAAGTCCACTGTTCAGACCTATTGCTCAGAGAAAAAGATTCCTTTAAAAATATGCTTGTTGACAATGTACCTGGTTACACAAGGGCTCTGATGGAGCTGTATAAGGAAGTCAATATTGTATTCATTCCTGCTAACACAACATCCATTTTGCAGCCCATTGATCACGAAGTAATTTCAACTTTCAGTCTTATTATTTAATAAATGCATTCGTTAGGCTGTAAGTGCCATAGATAGTGATTCCTCTGATGGATCTGGGCAAAGCAAATGGAAACTCTTCTGGAAAAAAAAAAGGACCATTCTAGGTGTCATTAAGAATATTTTTGATTTGTAGCAGAGGTCGAAATATCAACATGGACAAGAGTTTAGAAGAAGTTGATTCCATCCCTCACGGATGACTTTGAGGGGTTTAAGACTTCATTGGAGAAAGCAACTGCAGGTGTGGTAGAAACAGCCAGAGAAGTAGAATTAGAAGGAGACTCCAAAGATGTGTCTGAATTGCTGCAATCTCATGATAAAATTTGAATGGAAGAGGAGTTGCTTTTTGTGGAAGAACAAAGAAAGTAGTATCTTGAAATCGAATCTATTCTTGGTGAAGATATTGTTAACATTGTTGAAATGACAAAAAGGATTTAAAATATTTCATAAACTTAGCTGATAAAGCAGTAGCAGGGTTTGAGAGGATTAACTCTAAATTTGAAAGAAGTTCTACTGTGGGTAAAACGCTATCAAACAACAACACATGCTACAGAAAACTCTTTCATAAAAGGAAGAGTTAGTTGATGCAGCGAACTTCATTGCTGTCATTTTTAAAATTGCCACAGCCATCCCACCCTTCAGCATCCACTACCCTGATTAGTCAACAGCCACCAACATTGAGGTCAGACCTGCCACGAGCTAAGAGATTCTGACTCACCGAAGGCTCAAATGATTGTTAGCATATTTTAGCAATAAAACATTTTCATATTAAGGTATGTACATTTTTTAGACATAATGCTATTGCACACTTAGTAAACAAAACTCATATGCACTGGAAAAACCAAACAATTTGTGTTACTTGCTTTACTGAGATACTTGCTTTATCGTGGTGGTCTGGAATATCTTAATGAGGTATGCCTGTACCATACTGAGAAGAAATGCAAGAGTTAAACTAGAGTCCTTTTAAAGCAATGGCTCCTTTTTGCTACAATGTGTCCTTGAAAACAGTGTTATAAAGCAAATCATTATAAAATGATTCCTATTTTCCCCATAGGAATTATGTCATAAAAAGGGTTATGCTGTTAACCAAAGACTTAGGATCCAATTAATTATAAATATAGCCAATAACAAGGCACAAGAGCAAAATGTAACATCATCTGAAATAATAAAATGATGATCCAAATCCTATAAAATGGGAATAAATATATAGAACATATTACAGCACATTTGGGCTGATTGTATAATCAAAGTAGTCTTATAACATATAATCGTAAAAACCTACACCATAAATCCGACCTAAGACTAACATGCTAACAATAATAAACCAAAAACATGTAATGAAGGATAATTTTATTTCCTTCTTTTAGACCTTAGATGGATTTTTACAGGATGGTTTAGATGCCCACTTCTCTTAACATGTGAAATACCCAAGGAAATTAGTGCTTACGTGCTCCCTTGTTTTGGATTGACTGTTGCAGCAAGAAGAAGGATTCCAGACATTCCATTCACTTGAAATACCACAGAAAATGATGACTGCTGTTCACAGTAGATATGGTATGTTTCATACTGAAAATATGTTTTAATATGAAAGTCTGTTCTTTGGTTTATTCA
Organism: Homo sapiens; assembly: GCF_000001405.40. Classification (NCBI taxonomy): domain Eukaryota; kingdom Metazoa; phylum Chordata; class Mammalia; order Primates; family Hominidae; genus Homo; species Homo sapiens. Next base: position 29,463,413 of record NC_000002.12, read on the forward strand.
GAGCTCCTCAAAAACTTCTACTTTGGCTCATGAGGATTAACTGCTACAGGGATTGCTCTCATGTTACAAAGAAATAGAAAGCTGGAAATCTAGAAAAAATGGTGGGTTTCAGCCACTGAACAACAGACAGCACAAGACTTGAGAGAAGGGAAACAAGTGATCCTTGAGAGAAAGGAAACAAATGAAGTGACACTTATAATTTTTCCAGATTATTGCCTGGAGGCAGTTTCCAGGTTGCCATGCAGAGAGAATAAAACCAAACACAGCTTGGTGACTAAGTCAAGGTTGGGATGGGAGATGTAGGGGAGAGAGAGAATATGAGTGTTCTGGAAATCTGTAAAGGCGTCCCCTTGAGTCTTTGGCTGAGTACTAATTCATGCATGCATGAGGGAAAACTACCACCGGGCAAGGAAAGCAGTACCAGAAATCATCAGGCTGAACAATTCCTAGATCCAAGGCTATGAACAGTCTGTGTCCCAACCAGCCAAAGTAGGTAGATCTAGTTACTCATGGGTCATTCAGTAGAGCCCTCAGAAAAGTTACACTTTCCCAGTATTAGGATTAAATTAGTCCCACAATAAAGGCTACTCTGAGTCTGACACAGCAAAACTTAACAGCAATCTTTGAAACTATCAAACTGATTTACAAATTACTTAACTGCATGCCAGATCAAAATCCAACACTCTTTAAGGGAATATTAGCAAAATTCAGCCTTGATGATATAAAATCACAATGTCTAGTATCTAACCAAAAGTTACCAGGCATTCAAAAAAGAAGAAAATTGGACCTATAATTAAGAAGATAATCACTCAGTGGAAACAGAGATAGAAGTCAAAGCGATAATAGAATTTGATGATCTTAGAACAGCTTATTATAAACCTTATAAATATACTTACTAATATAAAGCAGGGGGCCAAAAACCTTTTCCATAAAGAACTGGAGTATAAATATGCAAATATTTTAGGCTTTGCAGGTCGTCAACTATTCAACTCTCCTGTTGAGTCATGAAAACAGCCATCATAATATACTGGCAAATGGGCATTATTGTGTTCAAACACAAATTTATTTATAAAAGCAAGTGGTAGAACAGAAGCCTGTGTGTGCCTTCATGTAAAGGAGACATGGGCAAATCAGGGGAAAAATGAAAGACTGAAACAGGCCCAGATGGAAATTTTTGAGATAAAAAATATACCGGATGGGACTAAAAGCAGATTAGAGAGTGTAGGGCAGTGGTTCTCAACAGGGGCCCGTTTTTTACTAGGGAACATTTGGTAATGTGAGGACGTGATTTTTGTTGTCAGAAATGAGGGGAAGGTGCTATTGGCATCCAATGGGTACAGACAAAGGATATTGCTAAGCATCCTATAATTCACAGGACAGCTCCCCCAACAAAGTATTAACTAGCACCAAGTGTTAATAGTGACAAAGTTGAGAAACCTTGTTGTAGAGGAACAGATCATTAGACTTGAAGACAAAGCAATAGAAACCATCCAAAATGAAGCTCAGAAAAAAAGACTGGAAAAAATTAACAGAATATCAGTGACAATGTCAGTCGAATATATGTGTAACTGGAATCCCAGAAGGGAGGATAACTCTTTGAAGAAATAATAGCACAAAGATTTCCAAATTTGTTGAAAACTTTAAGTTCACAGAGCCAAGATGCTTAACAAACCCCAATCTGAAGAAACGTAAAGAAAATTACATCAAGATCCATCATAATCTAAATGCTTAATATGAGTGATAAGAAGAAAATCTTAAGGTACCTAAACAAAAAGAGATACAATATATGCAGAGACCAAATATAAGAATGGCAGCAGACTCATTGTCAGAAGTCACACAGGTCAAAAGACAATAGAGCAATATCTTTAAAGTGTTAAAAGAAAAAAAGATTGTCAATTTAGGATTCTATATTCAACATAAACATCCTTTCAAAATGAAGAAAAATAGTTTTTTAGACAAAATTCTATAGGGACTTTCACTATAAGGAACGTTAAAAGTAGGCCAGGCATGGTGGCTCATGCTTATAATCCCAACACTTTGGGAGGCTGAGGCAGGTGGATCACTTGAGGTCAGGAGTTTGAGACCAGCCTGGCCAACATGGTGAAACTCTGTCTCTACTAAAAATATGAAAATTAACTGGGCGTAGTGGTGTGTGCCTGTAATCCCAGCTGCTCAGGAAGCTGAGGCATGAAAATCACTTGAACCTGGGAGGTGGAGGTTGCAGTGAGCTGAGATTGTGCCACTACCCTCCAACCTGGGCAACAGAACAAGGCTTCATTTCAAAAAAAAACAAAAACAAAAAAAGTTAAAAGTAGTTCTTCAGGCAGAAGGCAAATGATATCAGATGAAAAACTGGATCTACCTAAAGAAATGAAGAACGTCAGAAATGGCAAATATTTAGGCAAATTAAAAAACATTTTGTCTCACTTTTAATCCCTTTAAAAGATTTGAATGCTTAATGAAAAAATAATGGCAATATATTATGAGTTTATAACATATGTAGAATTAAAATGTATTACAATAATAGCACAAAGGCTGGGGGTAGAGATTGGAAATACAAGAATGTAAAGATCTTATACTATACATAGTCATATTATTTGAAGGCAGCTTGTCAGAAGTTTAAGATAAACATGAAAAACCCTAGAACACCCACCAAAATTATATTAAAAAAGAAAGATATAGTTAATAAAACATAGGTAAACTAAAATGGAATCACAAACAAATACTTCAGTAAACTGAAGCTCTTCATGGTTCCAGGGCTTCTGGACATCATGTGGCCTGATTTCTTCCTTCTTCTTTAAAAAGCCGTGAAAACACTAGTACAGACCTCAGAAAAGAATCTCCCAAGCCTCTGTGTTGACATCTTAGTTCCCGTCATCTATTGTTTCTATGTCCAGAGTCATGGGAACCACATACACACACACACTAACTCACACACATAGACACACACACACTCTCACACACTCACACTCACCAAGCTTTATCTGGAGAACACATTTCAAATATGCCTCACAAATATATGCACAATAATTTTCAAACACATATGGGTGCTATCACATGGAAATCTATTCTAAAATGTCATTATGTTTTTTAATCAATCAATATTTATGACTAACAATTAGGTTCTCATTCATGGAAGTCATTAAAAAGGGCTCCTCAATTTTAAGAGGCTAGGAACCATGGAACCATTGTGATGAATTAAAGGGCTTGGCCTTGAGGGTTTGAGACTGTTTCTTGTAAGTAACAGGCAATTGCTGATGGCTTCTCAATGGTGTGTCATATGATAACAGTGCTCTCACAAGTTTTACATTTGATGAAAATGAGGTAGAAAAAAGCTGAAGAGTTTGTTTTGAGGCTGACTAAAACTAATAAAATAATCATAAATCAATCACTCAGTTGGTAACTTGTCTGCAAGACAGTTCTCTGGATCATTGAAGTGATTAGAGCACATATTTTACATCTGATAATTTGTGTTTACACTTGATTGGATAAGCCATTTGTTGATGGGTTATTATGATATCTTTAGTGGACATCTGTAATTTTGTGTGATGTGTGATCAGTATTTCTTCTTTTTTGGGAACTGCCGCATCTCCAGTTGTTTCTGGTAAGGCTGTTAATAATTTCACCCCTCCTCCCCTTCTAAGCTGGCAATACCCATTCACCTCACATACAATAGTTGATACAGCTTGGACACATGATCCAAGAAGGGCTGATACTGACATGCTGTGTGAAGGAAGGGATGACTTTTGTTTTGGGATCATGAGGACCAAGAGCCTTGTTTGACCAGGGCTTCCAATGAGCAATCTTATGGAGAGTCTTATTGATAACAGAAAAAAAAAAAAAAATGGCAAGCCAAGTTGAGGATAAAGAGTCCTGAAAACAGTTACTAATTTATTGTTTAATTAATTAAAAGATACATATTGAATATTTGCTATGTTTTTGGCACTGTTGCTGGCCTTGGGAATATGGCAGTGAACAAGCCCTCAGAGCCTGAAGCCTAGTTTCACTATTTTAGATTTTTCAGTTACATAAGCCAATTAGTCTTCCTTTTCCACTTAGTTTATCATTTTCTGCCATCTGATGGAGTCCAAGTACATTCTCTATTAATTCTGGTTTTAAAAGGTACAAGGATGATTTTAAGAAATGAGCCTGCTCTAAGACCAGAGCTTGGAATCTGCTCATTCTTTCTGGTATAAAAGCCTATCCACTAGACCAGTTCCTCTCAAAGTGTGGCTCGGGGGCCCTGAGATCTTTTCAGGGACCCTCAAGATTAAAGCTCTTCTCATAATAATACTAAAATATCATTTTTCTTTTCTACACACACTCTCTCATGAGTATATTACAGAGTTTTCCAGAGGCTACCTGACTTCTATCAAGTTAGACATTAGAGAGATTTGCAAAAATGTACAACAACTCTTCTCTCTAAATTTATTTTAGTTTTGGTAAATATGGTTACTGTTTATTAAAATAGGTTATTTACACCAATATTGTTATGTAACATATTTATTATTATTTGTAAATGAATAGGTAAATATTTTTAAAATTTCTCTGTTTAATATCCAACATGATAAGAATCGATATATATAACTCACATGAACAAAATTCTTTGGGGTCCTCAATAATTTTTTTTTTTTTTGAGATAGAGTCTTGCTCTGTTGCCCAGGCTGGAGTAGTGGCACGATCTCAGCTCACTGCAACCTGCGCCTACCGGGTTCAAGTGATTCTCTTGCTTCAGCCTTCCAAGTAGCTGGGACTACAGGCACGTGCCACCACACCCAGCTAATTTTTGTATTTTCAGTAGAGATGGGGTTTCACCATGTTGGTCAGGCTGGTCTTGAACTCCTGACACAGTGATCCACCCACCTCGGCCTCCCAAAGTGCTGGGATTACAGGCGTGAGCCAATGCACCTGGCCAATAATTTTTAATAGTGTAAAGGAGTCCTGAGATAAAAATTATGAGAACTGCTGACCTAGACCAATGCTGAGCACTTGGGAGATTAATAAATATATTTTAGGGTGAAGTTGAGGAGCCATGGAGATACAGATTTGAAGAATATTGGCTTGCTAGCGATATGAGCCCATAATAAGTTCATGAACATACATTTCTCTTTTCAATCCTTCTAAATGAAAAGTTCATGGTTCAGAATGAATAGCCAGCTCAGCTCAGTGGCTCATGCCTGTAATCCAACACTCTGGGAGGCCAAGAATGGTGTATTGTTTGAGCCCAGGGGTTCAGGACCAGACTGGCCAAAATAGTGAGACCCTTTCTCTACAAAAAATTTGAAAAAAAATGTAGCTGGGTATGGCAGCATGTGCCTGTGGTCCCAGCCACTCAGGAGGCTGAGGTGGGAGGCTGGCTTGAGCCTGGGAGGTTGAGGCTGCAGTAAGCTATGATCACACCACTGCACTCTAGCCTGGGCAGTAGAGTGAGACCCTGCCTCAAAAAAAAAAAAAAAAAAAAAAAAAAAGAACTAGCACACCAAAGAACTACAGTAACTGCCTTACCAATAACCCATTTATGCCTGAGGTTGCAATTTTTTGAACTTTTGCAATCAGACTTTGGCAATGACCTTGAGCAGTAGGATATAAATAACACTCACATGCTTGGTGTTCCAATAATGGAACACTAGGCATAAATGGGCTAATGGCACAGGCTGAAGGCTGATATGTCTTGGAAATAGTCAACCCTAATGAGGTCTGAGAGGGTAAAGATCATACTATGAAGCTTTCCTAAAGGAAGCTGCTCTTATTTGCAGTCTGAGTGGAGGAGTAGGCACCTGGTCAATGAGATAATGAAAAGATGAGTTTCCAGAACCATTCCACATCTGTGGACATGTTGGGTCAATGTAAGGAATTAGCCAAATCAGTGATCACCAGCCACTATCTTGTGCCAAATTGCCTTCTCAATACCCAGAGCCCCTAATTTGACAATTGCTGAGAACCAGTGACATCAACAGTAATATCTAACAGGAAAGTGGCAGGTGGTCTTCAGATACTAGTTTTGATAAGGGCCCACTTGCATTTATTTTTAGGTCCATCTTTCAGGGTGTTCTCTCTCAGAAAGATAAAAATCCCATTCAGTCCCAGCATCTTTTCACAGGCATGCTGCACCTCTGTGGTCATGAAATCTCTCCTTACTCTTTCCTAACTTTGGCCCTTTCTGTAGCTCTCTTAATGGCACCATCCCCCTCCTTGACATTGAAGTTCCCAGCCACAAAGGGTTTGACTTCTTCTTTCTTGAAAATTCCCACTCATCATCCCCCAGCCTCCCAACGAGTTTTTAATAAGTTGTGGATTTCTGCCAATTCTATGCAGTCATTTAGTCATTCATTGAGACTTCACAGCCCTAAATCATCAAATCCTGATTGGATCAAGGTTTCTGCCTGCCAAAAGAAAATGAAACTTCTCTGAAGAACAACAACCTTTAGAGCTTCTGGAATTCAATAAAATATTACCAGAAAGGACAGGAAACAGAGCCAAATGACCCAAAGCCAATATAAAAAGCAATGGAAAAAAATAAAAACAGACCTTGAAGTCTGATATTGGAGTTATCAAATATAGACTTTAGAATAATTATAATATGTTCAAGAAGACAGATGAGCAATAAAGAATTTCATTAGAAAACGGGAATTTATAAGAATCAAATGGAAATTCTAGAAGTGAAAAATACAATAACGAATTAATAATTCAATAGATGAGTTTAACAGTAGATTAGACACAAGAGAACAGAAAATTAGGATACTGGAAGAGAGACTCACAGAAAATGCCCTGATTGAATAATAGGAAGAAGAAAAAAAAGACAGAATATACAGAAAAGAATTCAAGAGACACGTGAGTCACAATGAAAAGGTCTAAAATACATATAATTTGAAGTCCCAGACAAGAGGAAAGAGGGAAAGGACAGAGGCAATATGTGAAGAAATACTGGCTGACAATTTTTCAAAATTAACAAAAACTTCAAACTTCTCTGTGAGTCCCACATAGAATAAATGTAAAGAAAACTATGCCTAGTCACATCATAATAAAGCTGCTGAAAATCAAAGACAGAAAGGAAATCTTTAAAATAGCCAGAGAGGAAAAGACACATTACCTCCAAACAAGCATTGATAAAACTGACAACTGACTTCAACAGAGGCAAGGAAGGCCGAAAGAGAACAGAGTGATGTCTTTAAAGTGCTAGCAGAAAATGACTGCCAGCCAAGAATTATTTACCCAGTGAGAATATTCTTCAAAAATCAAAGTGAAATAAGACATTTCAGACAAAACAGCTGAATTTTTTTTTTTTTTTGCCAGCAGACCCTTACTAAAAGAAATATTAACGCAAGCTCTTGAAGCAAGAGGAAATTTTTCCCAAATGGAGGCAACAGTCATAGAAGAAGGAATAAAGAGCAATGGCAAGGGAAAATACGTGGAAATATTTAAATGAATTTTGGCTAATTAATATAATAATAGTGTCTTCAGATATGTAAAATATGTGTAGCTGTAAAATACATGACAACAAAAGGATAAAAGAAAGGATGGTGGCTAGTGGAGTTTAAGTAATCAGGTTCTTGCCTTGTTCAGGAGTGGCAAGCATACTAATTTAAGATATACTCTAATGGTCACTAGGGTAACCATGAACAGCATAGTAAAATAATATATAACTATATTTTAATGGAATACACAATTAAGTAGGATACACAGTTAACAGGATGCAAAATTAAATACTTTTAATTATGTTAATAGGATATATAATTAAATACTTTTCTACAGAGAATATTCCAGGCCAAGTTGGCTTTATCAATGAGTTCTTCCAAATATTTAAAGATGCAGTAAAACCAATTTCACACAAACTCTTAGCAGAAGATAGAAAAACAAAGATTTTCTGTCTTGTTTTATAAAGTTAGCATAACTTTGATAACAAAATCTAAGAAGGCTACAAGAAGGAAAAATTACAGGTCAATCTCTCTTATTAGCATAGATGCAAAAGTTCTAGACAAAGTATTAACAGATCGGTATGAATTATATATCAAATAGGTAATACATCACAAAAAGTTGAGCTTATTCCAGTATATAAGGTTGGTTTAATTCTCAAAACTCAATCCATATAACCCACTATATTAATAGAAAAAAGAATAAGCAGTATACAGTTGTCTTGATAAATACAGAAAAAGCATTTGATATCATTCATTACCTATTCGTGATGAAAAACCTCAGCACACTAGGAATAGCAGTTGTGGCAGACTGCATTTTCCAAATATGGTCACAGCAATATTTCCGTTCCCACATGCTCTCACAGAACTTGCAGAGTAGAATGCAGTGGCAATGATGCTAAATAACTTTCTTTTCTTTTTTTTTTTTTTGAGACAGAGTTTCATTCACTCTTGTTGCCCAGACTGAAGTGGAATGGCACAATCTTGGCTAACTGCAACCTCCACCTCCTGGGTTTAAGTGATTCTCCTGCCTTAGCTTCCTGAGTAGCTGGGATTACAGGTGGTCCCCACCACATCCAGGTAATTTTTTGTGTTTTTAGTAGAGATGGGGTTTTACCATGTTGGCCAGGCTGGCCTCAAACTCCTGACCTCAGGTGATCCACCCACCGTGGCCTCCCAAAGTGCTGGGATTACAGGCGTGAGCCACTGCACCCAGCCGATGTTGATGACTTTCAAGGCAAGATCACAGGTGGCACCTGGCTGTCTTGCAGGACGGTCACCCTGGGAACCCACTCACCATGGTATGAGAAAGCCTGAATTAGCCTCTATGGAGAGACTATATGAGAGGCCCAAGTAGTGATGCCACCAGTCTACTGTTGGCATCAACCACCAGAAGTGTGAGTAAACAAGCTTTCAAATGATTCCATGTCCTCAACTTCAAGTCTTCCAGCTCCCCAGTCATTGTGAAGCAGGGGCAAGCCTTTCTTACTGTACCTTGTCTAAATTCCCAATCCACAAAATCTGTGAGTGTAGTAAATGGTTGTTCTTTGCCACTGAGTTTTGGGAAAATTTTTTATGCCATTGTAGGAACTGGAACGGAAGGAAACTTCCTCAATCTGACAAATGGTATCTCTGAATATCCTACAGCTAACTTCATACTTAATGATGAAATATTGAAAGCTTTCCCTTTGAATTAAGGAAGAAGACAATGAGGCTCCCTGTTACCACTTCTAACATACATTTTACTAGTTCTCTTAGCCAATACAATAAGGCAAGAAAAAGAAATAAAAGGCACATTTGGAAAAAAAATAAAATGATCAACTAGAATCAATAGGTGAATTTAACATGGTTTTTGAATACACAGTCAATACTGTATACAACAAAAATTACATTTTTAAATACTAGTCACAAAAGAAAAAATGAATCTTTAAAAATAACTTTTATAAAAACACTTAAAAGTCACAAAAGAGTAAGTTTAAAGAAATATTGGCAAGAATACAAAGAAAACTAAAAACAATTACCTGGAGAAATTAAAGAAGATCTGATAAATGAAAATTTATCATGTGTTAAGGACTGGAAGACTCACTATAGTTAGAATGTCAGGTCTCCTCAAATCTGTAGATTAAACTTAATCCCAATCAAAATCTCAGCAGAATTGTGTGTATTTGTACTGTGTGACAATTTATGAGATGATTCTAAAATACACGTAGAAATGCAAAAGGCAAAGCATGGCAAAGATGATCTTGAAGAACAAAGTTGGAGCACTTACAGTACCAGATATCAAGACATATTATAAAGCTCCTGTATTTAAAACAGTGTGGTACTTGTGCAAATATAGACAAACAGAGAAGTTTGTCTTCTCTGAATGAAGTCCAGGAACAAACCTATTCTTAAAACCACCTGATTCACAGCAAAGATGCCATTGCAATGCAGTGGAGAAAGGAGAATCTTTTCAACATAAATGAGCCTATACCTCTACTTAATGCTAAATGAATTATAGACCTAAATGTGAAAGGAAAAACAATAAAGTTTCTAGAAGATGACATAGAAGAATATATTTATGATATCAAGGTAAGTAAAGATTTCTTGAATAGGATATAAAAAGCAGTAAATGGAAAGGCAAGCCACAGATTTGGAGAAAATATCTGCAATATTCACAATGTATACATCTTAAGGACTGTTGTCTGTAATATATAAAGAAGCCCTAAAATCATTAAGAAAAATACAAACAATACAACAAAAAAGGGTAAAAAGACTTGCACAGGACCTTCACAAAAGAAATATTCAATAAGCATATGAAAGGTGTTCAAAATCATTACTCATCAGGGAAATGCAGGAGTTTGAGACCAGCCTGGCCAACATGGCAAAGCCCCATCTCTACTGAAAAAAAAAATACAAAAATTAGCCTGTAATCTCAGCTACTCAGGAGGCTGAGGCAGGAGAATCGCTTGAATCTGGGAGGCAGAAGTTGCAGTGATCCAAAATTGCACCATTGCACTCCAGCCTGGGGGACAGAGTGAGACTTTGTCAAAACAAAAACAAAAACAAAAACAATACTTCCTATCCACCAGAATGGCTAAAAACAAACAAACGAACAAAAAATGGACCCTACCAAGTTGTTGAGACTATGGAGCACATTCTCAATACATTGCTGGGAGGAGTTAAGTTGGTACAATTACTTTGGCAAACTGTTCCAGAATATCTTCTAAAGCTGACTAGACACACATTTTTACCCTCCTAAGTAAACATCCAAAAGAAATGTATATATGCTCCAAAAGACAAGTATAAGGATAACCTAATTCACTGGATATATTGTGGTATGTTTATACAATGAAATAGTCTGCAACAACAACAAAATTGAATTACTGCTACATACAACTAAACAGGAATATCTCACAGACACAAAATAGTTAATACTATCAAATAAAGTTACACAAAATTTAAAAACAGGAAAATCTAATCTATAGGGAAAGAAGTCAAATAGTAATGATCTTTAAGGGACTGTAATGACTGGGAGGGGGCATAAGATGGCTTCTTACCTGCCGGTAAGTGTTTCACATCTTGGTCCGAGTGGTAATTCCATGAATGATTTCCTTTTGTAAAAATGTATCCACTGACGTGTGGTTTTAGTGTATGTATGCTCTATAACATAAAGCTAGCTTAAAAAAAGGAAAAATAGCAACGACGGCTGGTTGTGCTGATGGTGACAAGGATGACTTCCTAATTCTGAGGTTTGATATTTTTCCAAACGCCAAAGTTGTGTGCTCTATTTAAAATCACATGTAGATTTCCAGTTACCTTGTGTAACTAACTCTACAGAAATAATATCTGAATTTTTTGCCTCTAGGAAAAAATTGTGGATTCAGGAATATGCTGTGTTTCACAAGACAGAACTGCAGTACAGAAACGTATTCGTGAATTAATTTTTTATTCTGTTGGATTTGGGGAGGTTTAGTTCAGGCTGATTTTCTAGTGCGATATAAGTGGGGGAGAGGTGGAGCAAGGGGTGGTTCATCAGATCAAGTTGAAAAGCCAAGATAGAAGCACAAAAGCCTGAACAAATTATCTACTGCGAGGCCTTTGCTGGACGGGGCCTGGCTGCCACACCTGCTGCTGGTCAGGGCCCAGGCACTGGTGTTCACTTTGAAGAGAGGAGTTAGGGAACCCCTTGAAGTTTCTGCAGAAGAAACCGCCAGGCTCCTGTGTACCCCCTGCTCCTGCATTCCTTCTTCTTATCTCCTCCACTCACTCATCTTCCCTATGAGTCTCTGAGCCCTTCCGCTGACTTCCTGCAGAAGCATCAGACAACTCGAGAGGGCGGAAAATGGAGAAGAAAGGCCAAGCAAGGCAGTGGGCGAGGTCAGAGGCCCTGTAGCCTGTCCTGGAGAAACCCCTTCCTTGCTGAACCAGAGCCACCATCGCTGGAAGACCTCAGGCCTCAGGGAGCTCAAGGGGGCAGCAAAAGAGGAAGACTGCCCTTTACTTAATGTCTCCTCCCAACTCCACATCCCCTCAGGTAACACAGTTACCATCTGACTGTGGAAGAAATAGGCCCCAAGAGGTGAACTCTCCTGCCCAAGGTCACACGGCGTAGGTGGCAGAATCCGCCTCTCCCGCCATCTTTTCCCAGAATCCCTCCCTCCACTAAGGGAATCCTTCAATCTCCAGGTCCACACACTGGAGAACATTCCTGAACAGTCTCGGGCCCGCCGGACGAGGCTGCATCTCCAGGCCCTCCCAGACCACACTAGAGGGAGGCAGCTGTCGCCATCCTCATTGTTCCCCTGAAGTGAGTGGCTAAGCCCCTGCTAGCTCTATGTAGAGATCGGCGACCCCCTGGGGCCAATCTCCCTTTGGTCCTGGCCTCTCAGTCAAAGGTTTGGAAAATGTGGCTGGAAATTTAAGACAGCCTAGAGCACAGCTGGCTCCCACTGAGTGAACAGCGCTGAGGCCCCGATAAAGGCTCATTCATCTCTGGGAGCTTCATGCTTGGAAGACTCTGAGTGCCTGAAGAGGAATTGTGCAAACTGCCATCACAATAAACAGAGAGAGAGAGCATGTCTATAAAATCCCAGACAGGCGGCAAATGAGAACGGTGACATCGAGTCTCACAACTGCAATGAAGTGAAAGTCTCTTGGTCCTCCCGTGTGGGGCTGCTTCGGACAGATGGGGCAGGGACAGTGGGGCAGAGACTCAGGCCAGGGAGCAGCCTGCTCCTCCAGCGCTGCCTATGGGCGGGAGTGGTCAGGAGACTCCCTCTAGAACAACTTAGGATGCTGGGACCACCAGGGTTTGTTGCTCACTTTACAGATGAGGAGACACAAGCTGCGGCTCAGACCCAGCCTTTAGCTGCCAACCCAAATGCTGCCCTCTCCTCCCCATGCCTGCAGGCATGCATCTAGTCCTTCATGCATCTGACATACAATGAGCGCATTCTAGGTTCTAGGCACTGCACTAAGCTCTGAAGATCAAACCAAGGCCTAGTTTCTGGCCTGGATGATCCTACAGTACAGTAGGGACATAAAATTACCACAATCATTTTAAACACCAACATTCTTTTCCACTTGTAAAGATAATTGTAGGAAAGATACATTATAGAAAAATATAGAAAATGAATCAAAATATCAAGAAGGAAATAAAAAACACACAGAATCCCACTCTCCAGAGACAATCATGGTATGTGTTTAGGTATATGGAAAAAAACTCCGTGTACCCACAGGCCCCGTGCCTGCAAGAGACAGGGTGTCGGTGGTAGAAGCACAGAAGAGGGAGTGAGTAGCCCTGAGACCCGGGGGAGTTTCCCGGTGGAGAAGGAGGGCTGTGCTTCCCCGACAAGGCACAGGAGGATGCAGGGAAGTGTGCTGCATGGGCTGAGACTCAGAGCGTGTGAGGCTGCCCAGGGAAGACAGGGAGAAGAGACCAGGGAGACAGATTAGGTGTGTAAAAGAGCCCTGGGCTTTGTGGAGAGTTCGATTCCATCCTGGAGCATTTCTTGCTGTGATGTCACACTGCAGAAATTAGTTGTGAGATGTATAGCTAGGAATTTGTTACTAATGACTCTCTGGGTATTGATCACCTTGCCCTTTTATCGTTGGTTGACACTGGAGCAGATTCAAGGAGATCACCATGCACCTCGCCTCACCCTCATTCACATATGTCCTGATAGACCACACAGAGTTGATGCGAAGGGGTGGAGCAGCAGGATCTAGGTGCAGATGTAGACTAGGGACACCCAGGCTAGAAAGGCTGTGGTGTGCAAAGGAAGAAGTGAACCACGAGGGAGAGTTGAGCTGAGCAGTGCAGGCTGGGTAAGATTTGGGCACGTGAATAGGAGCCAAGAGATACTTCCTGGGGTGGAAGGTCTGAGTGGGTCCTAGAGCCTGGAAAGGACATCATCATCACTAACATGGCCAGTACCCCCTCATCCCACTACCCAGAGGCAGCATCATGCTAAAGAGAAAGGGGCTTTGCTATATACCAGCTGTGTGGTCTGGGACACATTTACTTAAGCTTTCTGAGATTCCACATTACAAAATAAATGGCAACACTTGGCTCTCTAGTTGTGGTGAGGATTTACTGAGATTGAAACCATGAAATTGCTTAGTGGAGTTCTTGGCACACATATGTATTCAAGTGATGTTGATTTTCTTTCCTTCCCAGCTAAGCAAGTCAGGAAGTCCCCACCCTCAGGTTCAGAATGTTTTATCAGAGGTGCTATATGATTCTTTATAACCCAGAGTTGGTCCCAGATTTTAAAGGGCATGGACTAAACAGATGGCTTCTCAGTGGTCCCAGATCTTCTTGTCCTGGGACACAGTGGTTCCCAAGCTGATAGATCCTAACCGGCTGCTGGTTTCAGAGGTACAGTGACAGCAGGCAGAGGGATGGAGAGGGATGCGAGGGAACTGGAGGCTCTGTGTGGGCAGGGGCAACAAGAAATGTGGGGACTTCAGATATGGCTAAAAGACTTAGGGGAAATTGCTTCCCTGGCCAGCACCAGGTGGCAATCAGGAAATCAGAGCTGAATGTGAATGTGATTTAGAATCCGAAATCTTGGGTTCTAGCTGGAGGTGCTGTGTAGGAGCCTATAGGCGAAGCAAGGAAGGCACTTCTGCCAGCAGATAACACGTTGATTTTAAGCAAAAAAGAAAAAGACTATTTTCCTGAGTCTGAGTTCAGTATTGATGAGCTGTGCAAAGCACTGTCCTTCTTGATGTATGCTCCTCCATCCATAAAAAATGAAGAGACTGTCTCACTCTCAGCTTCTCAAAGCTCCCCAGGTTTGCTGCCTGTGGCTCCAGACCCAACAGATAGAAATATGAGGATTGATATAATCACACATATGAACAGGAATACAAACACCCATGTGAATGGAAACATACATATGAATATGGCCCATGTTGCCCTCCTCTCATCTCTAGGGGGAGGACAACTCTCACTCCATGTTCCAGTTAGAGTCAATCAGCAAACCATGTTTTACCATACACAGGACTGTAATGATCCTGCTTTCGTATAAAGGGCTTTGCAGCCCCAGAACAGCCTTCACATCTATTGTCTGCCATGAGCCACACAAGCCCCTTCCAGGAAAGGTAGGGTGAGTGCTCCCATCACTGGGCATATATGGAAACAGAGCCTTGGACAGGCGGAGGACTTGCCTCCCTGGTGGCCTTCTTTCCACGACTCCTCCTTCTTTCCATGACTCCCTTACCCTGTACTTAACTTGAGAAGAGCTTTGAAGTAATGAGCTCATGCTGTGCTCTCAAGGCTCCTACAGACTGACGAGGAATAAGTCATACGCATACGCAAGTCAGTTTACACTGCCAGGTGATTGAGGATTGATGCCGATCTGTATCAACGATGAGCATGGACATATTCAAAGAAAGCGGTCACTCAAAGGCTGGGTGGCCTGAGAAGAGGCTTCAAAGAGGACCTCAGTGTTTAAGCTGGGTTTTGAAGGGCAGGCAGGATTTGGAAAGGTCAGGGAGAACAAGTGTGTCCCAGCTTGTGGGAATGGTAGGGGCAGGTGCAGAGGGTGGGAGCATAGCTGGCTTGTGAATTCAGTTACTGTTAAGACATGTCCCCAGAGACTGACTAGCTTCAGGAACACAGAAATAAATCTAGTTTCTGGCCCTGCAAAGAATAGGACCCTAGACCTAAGTGAATGCCGTCTAATGAAGCCTTGCCATGACATCCTGTGTCCTCATAAAAGGGTCCTAGACTGGTATGAAAGAAAGGATGTCTTCGCTATTGTGAGACTGGGCAGCCTGATCATCTTGGAGAGAAAGGGAGTGTGTTAGAGAGAGCTCTAGAGCCTGGGAGCACTCAGGGTTCCCTGAACATCTCCCATCTCCTGTGATGTCCCCGAAATGATGGCTCACCCTGAAGCAGGCAGATCTACACTGCCCTGGGGAAAGACCCTATCCTGAGCTTTCTGGGATGGCAGCAGGAGATAGTAGTAGGTTCTGAGACCTCAACCACAGCCTCAGTCTTTCTTCATACACAGATCTGTTGCCAAGACCTAGGAGGTAGCTAACAAGCAGGCCCAGAGGACGCTTGAACACACAGGCCTGAAACTCATTCTTCACCCGCTTGGTGATTTTGGAATTAATTAAATATCCTATCTTACCAAAGCTTTAGGGTGTTTTGCTCTAGAAAGCTTCTTTTCTCTTAACTAAATTGAAGCCCATAAATGAGAAATACAGTGCATGAAATCTCTGGATGTCACACCATAAATCTCAAGCATGTGGCTTTGCAAATCTCCTTTAGGATAAATTGTAGCAATAAAGTGTTTGCATTTTCTTCATGTATTGCTGGGTTCAGGGAGTTGAGCCTTCTCTAGTCACAGGCAATTTGATTGAAGACCACAGGGTCACACAGGGGGACATGGGGCAGCTTGGCTGTGGGTCTGGGGATGGCTGGTCCTTTGCTCTCCTACCACCGCCCCCAGATGAGTGGGTGCCCTCTGCTCTGGCAGTGACCTTGGCAAAATTAGGAAGATCTGGAAGATAACATTCTTCTCAGGGGTGGAAAGGATAGGTTCAGACTGGGAAAAGGACATGAGAGTCTTGAAATCTGGTACAGGAAATCTTTGACCTAAAATATACCAGACACATAACTCAAAGTTGTTTGTTCTTCCTAAACAGCCCTTCTCACTCCCTTCAACTAACCGTTCCTGGGCATTTTGTTCTTTCAGCTAAATACTAAACAGCAGCTTTAAAAATACATGTGACTTTGTATATTTCAGCACAGAAAAATCCCCAAAACATAATGTGGAGTGAAAAACACAAGTTGCAAAAGAGATATACAGTGTGATAAAAACAGGAATATGCATTGACTATGGTATGGACACATAGTATACAGGAAAAGTACAGTCTCATGTGGAATAACACCAGCAACCTCAGCAGAGTGACGTGAGGCTGAAGGAGGATGAGGCGAGGCTTTAGATTTATTTATTTAAAAAAAGGAAAGAAAAACAAAGCAAATAGGGTGAAATATTAATATCTGCTAATTCTAAGTGGTGGGGATGGAGCTGTTTGTAATATTTGTGATATTATTTTCTATGTCTCTAAAATATTTCATAACTGAAAGTAAAATATTATTTTAAAAACAATGAAAATTATAATTTCTTCTGGCATTTGGAGAGGTGTGAATCTTTTCAGAGTTTGCTGAGTTAAATGGGACTGTTTATCTCTAAACTGTGTATGGTCCTAGGTGATTGTCTGTTATATTTCTTGTCTCTGCTTTTTATTGCCCCGTTGCCCCAGGGATGAGTTGACACTTCTTGCTGTTGTCAGTCAATCTGCCCACTCACTTCACACAGCAGTCAAGAGCAGAGGCCAGTCAGACGCAGGGAGGAAAGCAGAAGTGGGGCTGGCTGGCTCAGGCCGGGGGCTACAGGCACTCTCCAGCAACACGCAGGCAGATGCAAAAGTGGGAACTCAGAAAGCTCAGGGAACAGACATCTTAAAAAAAAAAAAAAAAAAAAAAAAGCCATCATTTAAGCCAGCACTTCTCAATGCTTAAATGTGCACAGGAATCTCTTAGAGACCTTGCAGATTCTGATTCACCAGGTCTGGGCAAGGCCAAAGATTCTGCATTTCCAATGAGCTCCCAGGCAATGCCGAGGTTGCTGGTCCAGGGACCACTGGAGCAAAGTCCCTAACAAGGAAAAGAGATCCGGCATGATCCTTTGAACCATCTCATATATCACGTGGGTGTATTCCTGTAATGGGGGCCCATGCTCCTGTGTTTGAGGACCAGCTTCAGATTTAGTGAACGCGAGACCTGAGCGATTATTCTCGAACAGCAAGGGAGTTTCAGTCATTCACCCAAGCCATGCAGCTGGTAATGGCAGATCTGGACTAGCACTTGGAATCCTGGTTTGTAGTTCAGTGCTTTAACTATTTTACCATTTCATCATTTTCCTCTTAGTAAGAAAACAAACTTGACGGTAAGAATTCATTAAATTGCCAATATATTTGGCTTTAAGCAACTCCCCTGTAAACAAATTTAGATTTAAAATAGAAGAGCAATGTGGAAGGGAAGACAATTATTTTTCAGTCTTTATCATAAGATTCCTGGAAACTACAAGCTCCCATAATACACTTCACATTTAATTTGATTTTACCAAAACTCAATTTATACATATTATGTTATCAGCACACATTGCATAGATAAGGCCTACCTTAACTGATTAATGTGCTTCTGTCAGACTCTACATCTCTGTCTTCATTGAGGTTTCTAGAATCTCCGACTTTGGCAAAGCTTCTTCCCTAGGCCTCAAGTTTTTCATCTAAAAACTGGTGTTGAACACATCATCACTAAAGTCTTTTCAGTTTTAATGGTTTTTGAGTTTAAAGTTTTCCTCTTTGTATACCTTAAATATGGCTTTCTGGGACTTCTCTCTCCAGCTGTCATTTTTCTCTTTGCATGGTTCACAGCTCTCCTGCTCAGAAAAGTGATAAGTGACAGGAAGGACTATTGATACAGTGGTTACTTTACATTCAGGAAAGAGGGTCAAGGTGATATTTAAAACTCAGCAACAGAATGACTTTCTGTTTGATTTTCAAAGGCTCTTAAGCCTCAATTCTTCCCACAAAGAAAGAAGGTGATTAATTGGCTGATGTCCTGCCTTCCTTAAAAGAAAGAATATGATCAGTGCAGTGGACCTACGAGGAAACCTAATCAAACCAGTTGTGGCTGTCCCTTCTTGCCTTGTGACCACAGATCTCAAATGGGAAAAGTGCAAACCTGTAGTATATCCCTCTGAATAAATTCTGCCTCTTCCCTCAAGAAAGGCCTGGTTTGAGACCAGTACCGGGAATGAAAACCCTAGTAGCATTGGAGCCATCAAGGCTTTCTCTGGGCTTGCAGAGATATTGCTAGGGGTAGGATCAAGCTGGTCAGGATGGGATACACCAGTGGACAGTGTGCCATGAGCAGGGGAGTTATTTTACTGTTTAGAGCCATAATTTCATAAAATAGAGGGTTGGCCTGCAAGAATTTCTGGTGTCTAGTTCTAGGATTCTGTGTATGAAAGTGGACTTGGAGTGAGGGCATAAATCCCACTTCTTCAAGGTGAAGGAGAACTGAGGGGGAAAGATGCCTATGCCTACATCTGAGGGAGGAGGTATCAAATTAGGTGGCTTAGTATGCAAGAACAGAGGTTGAGGTTAGCAGAGAGGTGTGACAGCTGGCACCACCTGGGAAAAGTGACCTGATGCTTTAAATAGGCACCAAGCTAATGGTGTGAGGTGAGGTCAGGTAGGTAGGGTTTCCTCAGTTATTTACGGCATGTATCCTATGGGTCCTCAGCACAGAAGTGAGTATTGTTGGTACAATGGAATGAACTAAAAGTGTCTTGTATTTTAGCTGATGACAGAGCAGGAGAGTGCCGTAGGAGAGCAAAAACAACAATAACAACAACAACAACAACAACAACAAAAACTGAGAAACTCTGAGACCTGGTCTTTGGATAAGAAAGTTCTTTAGTCTTCCATGACGACTACATGGATTACTAAAATCCACAGTAGGAAGCTCCCCAAGAGAGTGTGTGCATGAAGGGGCGATAGGAGGCAAGGAGATAATGGAGAGTGCCAATGGCAGCATGCTTTGATTTACAGCCCTGCCTTGGATCTGCCTGCTTTTCTTCTACTAGGCTATTCCTACGCAGTTATTGGGCTGAGAAGACTGAATGAGCAACATGTGTTCTAGAATAGGAAACCCAAAGGGCAGGAACTTGGAAAAGACTGTGGTAAATATTTGCACTTGAAAAGAGAGCAGGAATAGGAGTTACAAGATTAGGTTCTGGTCCCCAGCAAGCTGTATGACCTGGGTAAGCATCTCCCTCTCCCAGAGACTTAGTTCTCTTAGGTACGAAATGAGAAAATATATTATCTCAATGGTGTTAAACCCTGTCTGTATACTGGTATTGCTTGAGGAGCTTTCAAAAAACACCAATGTCTAGGCACTGCCTCAGGTCAACTGAACCAGAATCTCTGGGGATAGGACACAGGCATCAGGGCCTTTTTAAAGCCCTCCCAGCTAATTCCAGTGTATGTCTAAGTTTGAGAACCACTCCTGCTATTCAAAGTGTAGTCTGTGCACCAGTAGGCGGTATCTCCTGGGAGCTTTTTAGAAATGCAGAATCTCTAGCTTCAGCTTAGAGAATCCACATTTTAACAGGATTCTCAAATGATTCATGTGCACATCCAAGTTTGAAAAGCCCCAAGACAGTTCATCTCTAAATAACGTTTTACTTTTAATTGTGAAATATTTTTAACATACAGAAATGCATAGAGAATAATTTAATTAGTACTCACATACCCAACCTGGCTTTATCAAGTCATTACTTTTTACTATTTTTCATTTAGGTTTTGTTTAACATAATGACATATATTTTAAGTTGAACCCTCCCTGTGTATTCCTCTTAGATCTTATGCTTATTGCTTTCTTCATAGATAGAGTCAATATCCTGACTTTGGTGTTTCTCCATCTTATTAATGTTTTCATATTATATTAGTCCGTTCTCAAACTGCTAATAAAGACATACCCGAGACTGGGTAATTTATAAAGAAAAACAGGTTTTAATGGATTCACAGTTCCACATGGCTGGGGAGGCCTCACAATCACGGCGGAAGGCGAAGGAGGAGCAAAGGCATGTCTTACATGGTGGCAGGAAAGAGAGCATGTGCAGGGGGAACTGCACTTTACAAAACCATCAGATCTTGTGATACTTATTCACTATCATGAGAACAGCATGAAAAAAACCACACCCATGATTCAGTTACTGCCCACTGGATGCCTCCCACGGGATTATGGGAGTTACAATTCACGATGAGATTTGGGTGGGGACACAGCCAAACCATATCATATACTATTATTATATAAGTAGGTAATTAGATGGATTGATTGATAGAATGACTTTGTCTTCTTAACATGATTTCTGTTGATCCATTCTTGCATTCTTGAGACAAATCCTAATGGGTCATTACACACACACACACATTTTTATATGTGTGTGTATATATCTATATATACAAGCACACACACATATATAAACACACTGCTGGATCTGGGTCCTAGCATTTTATTTAGGACTTATGGTATTAAATCAGATCAGTTTAAAGTGTTCCTCTATTGTCAGGGAACTTAGCAAGCTTTAAGTATAGACTGAACACCACTTCCAGTTTTGTTTTTTTCTAGTGTTTCAGTTTCATAATTTTTAGATACCCTAAATCATTTCTTGTAATCAATGCTTAATTGTAATGTTTAAAAATTTAGCAACCAAATTTATTCATTTTAGTGCTACCTATTGTACCTTGTTTTATATACCCTCCCTTTAAATTTGTTTTCTTCCTTCAAGAAATACATCCTTCAATAGTCTTTTCATGAGATCTATAAATTTTAAACTCTCTTAGTCCTGATAAGTCTGAAAACATCTTTATTTGTACGTTATTCCTTAACACTACTTTAAATGACTGCAAAATTCTATGTTGACAACTCCTTTTTGTCAGCACTTTGAAAGTACTGATCTACTGTTTTCTGTTATTTTTGTTGTTGTTGCTAATGACAGGTTGGATGTCTTTCTGATTATAGGTAATCCCTTTAAAAAATATTCTACTAGCTTTTAGTGTTTTTTTTCTTTACTTTTGATAATCTAAAGTTTCACTATAATTTGTCTAGGAGTAGATGTATCTTAATCCTGCTGCCTAGTTGGAGTGAACCTTTTATCTAAATAATTCTGCCCTTCTTCGGTTCCAGAAAATACTCAAATTATTTTCCCAAGTATTGATCCTCCTCCATCTCTTCCAATCTCCTCTTCTGATGCCCTTTTAGACTATGTCTAAGCACCTATCTTCCATGTCTCTAAACCACTTTTTCAAATATTTAGACAATCTCTCTCTGCTGCATTCTGAGTAACCACCAATGGATATTCTAATCCTCTAATTTTCCATTTGAACAAGACCATCCCAGAGTTCATCTTATCTGCTGAGCTGACACTTTAAGACTTATTTTTAATTCATTTTGATTTTATTTTAGTGACCATCTTTTGTGTTTCTAATATGTATAATTGGTTCTTTTCCATATCTACCTGTTCTCATTTCATTTCAGCCTGATTCTGTTTCATAACTTCTGGCTCTTTTTAAACAAAAGATTTCCTCCCTGTATCTATTCAAGTATATCTTAAATGTATTCATTTGAAAGTTTATTCAGACTGGTATAAAAATTTCTATTAATCTGAAGAGGATTCATATGCGAATGATTGGTTTTTGGCTTTCTTTCTTGGCAGGGTTTTACATTTTAGAATTTTGTACTTGAAGGCTAGGCTCCTTTTGCTTGATGGGTGTTTGTTTACAGGTCCTCCCCTTCCCCAGCCAGGCTCACCCCTTCCTGTCTGGCTGTTTATGTTGCCTCTGTTTGGTCCTCCCTCAAGGTCAGAACCAGATTCAATCTCTGGGCAGTCTGGTTCGGGTCTGAGTCATAAGACATTGTTCCTAGGACTGCAACTTGCGAAAAACAGTGGCCTCAGTGGCATTTTTTTTAGGATCCTTTTTGTGGTTGTGGGAGCTGATCTCATGTGAACCCTGGCTGCAAGCACTGATTCTGGCCCTGGCCTTTCATCTTGGCTGGTCATCCTTAGAAGTATTTATCACACAGAGGCCAAATTCCTGGCTGTATGGACTGCTTCCCGCCCCAGAGCTCAGCTGGCCTGCAGGCTGATCTGCTTACTACTTTCCATTTCTGTTCTGGGTTTGAGAGATGGAAACACGGTGTCTATTGTTCAGGACAGTTATGTCATTCCCATGTTATCTCTCCTTGTGCTGCATTTAGAGCAGAGTAGTGCAAAATATACCATCTTGCTCAAAGTCTAGATTTGCAAAATAATGGCCTAGGCACAGTTGCCAAATTAATAATGGAGAATCTTGTTTTCTTGGTGGATGAGGATCAGTATATAGTATATTATCTCTTACCCTTTAGAATACAAGTACCAGAAGGACAGAGACTATGGTTCTCTATCATTCCTGCATTTCCAGGACCCCAGAGACTGTTTGGTATGAAATGAGTGCTTCATAAATGTTAAAGAGAAAATGAAGTAAGCTTCTCTGGGCATTTTTCTGAACCTTTCTGATAATGTTCTTAGACTTAAATTCAAACACCTATCCCCTGGACCATAACTTCAGTGTTGCACATAAAGTCAGCACATTTTGAAGATCAATGACGTCTTGAAGTCAGCCATTAACTGCAAAAGTCAGAGCTGCTTAAGAGAGATACGGGCATGCCCTGTTTTATAACAAAGGAGCAACATGGAAAAATATTCACTGATAAATATCCTACCAGTAAATTAAAAACAAGAAGCAAATACCTTCAAATTGCTTTCACAGTGTGTTTTGTCTTTCTCTTTGAATATTATTTATGAGGGATAATTTACTGATATTGTGGTTACCCCAAATTATATACCAAAGAAAATTAAAAGCACTACAGAGGAGGAAATAATAGTAGCATTTAATTAAAACCAAAGTGGGCACAATCAATGCTTGTCTAATACAATAATGAGCTTAATTTAATTTTAATTTAATGGAAAAAAATAAAGCTTAAGTCAACTGCCTATGTAATTAAATGACAGCAATTTTAAAAAATGTAAGCTTTTCTAAAGTGGAGTCCTAAAAGGGTAACAATGGCGAATACAATGCCAACTAACTGACCTATATCAATGTTTCCAGAAGAGTTAGAGGGGATCATTTTCTTCAGGAAGCAGGACTATGCATTTTCAGCTTCTGGAAAGTAGAATTAATTAACAAGCGATACTCTAACTTTCCGTCCTTTAGAGTCATCAAAAAAGTAGACAAAATTGGATTTCTAAGAATTGCCAGTTTGGGAGTATGGTCCAAAAGGGACTGAAATAAACAGATGACCATGTAGGGGAGCTTGAATGGATGCTTCCTACCAGAGCTGGGCTGCAGAGAGGACAGCGATTGAGCCTGAGGTGGGAGAACAGTGTGAAAGGGAACCCCCATACCCCCAGACAGCTGTCTGTGGCCACAGAGCTGAGGAAATAGGATTCACTCTAGACAATAAGGAGAGACTGTTTTTCCAAGTACTAGCTTAGAGCTTGTGGAAAGGTGGTCCAACTTTGATATCAAAAAAGGATTCTTTTTGAGTTGGTTAATCTGTCAAAATGTGAAATGAGAAGCCACCTGGGGTAGTACCCAAAGCATCAGATTCAAGGTTGAAGTCCTATCTCTGTAGCTTAACAACTGAGTGACTTTGAGCAACTCAGCTGCTTTGAGGCTCAGTTTCCTAATAGAAATATAGGGTTACTGGTATCCATTTTGCCCTAGCTCACATGATTTTTAGATGATGAGGAGAAGACATTTATTCAATGCCTGCTATGTATCAGTCACCTTACTAAGTATTAAACATTACTTCATTTAATTTACCACCCATTTACTGAGCTAGTTGTCATTTTACCGAGACAGAACCAAGGCCATAGATGGCACCAGATCGAGAACTCACAGCTTATGCATCTCCCTCTCTCCAAAGCCTGCCCGCTATCCCGTGCTTGTTCCTGGAGCTCAGCTCAAATTCAAAGACAGAGGGGCCCAGTGTGATTGGAGTTACTTTGGGCTTCTCTGCTCAGTTTATTTTCTTGGGTTGTTATTTTTTTTTTCTGTTGGACTCTTTTATACTAGTTATACACATATGCACGTGCACACAGAAAAGCACTAACATCCCTTTACATTCAGTCTGCCTTATCTGACTTAACTTCATAGCAGCTGGGTTCATCTCATATGCAGTTCTAGGTAACCCCAGAACAGTTCTCTGGACAAAGCACGTGCTATTTATATATGCCTATGTGAATGATTACATTATTTGCATTCTTTTAGTTTCACAGCCTGCTTTTCAGGCAACTGACAAGTTCCTACTATTTACTTCTTAATAATCTGTCACCATGTTCCACCAGGTGCTTACTTCTTATTACATAAGCAGTGTTTCATCACACTGTTGTATGCAGCAGAATGGTGGGGTCATTCCCTAACCCCCAAACTGAGACTCAAACACTGGTGACTCACCAGCTCTCCTAAACGTCTAATTAATTACAGCAGCACTGGAGCAGAACAGCGCTAGTTCAGGGTATGTCAAGCAGTTTCCCTGGCATGACTGATGGCATTGGAGTGGTAGGATTGACTTGGACCAGATAATATTGGTAAGAATCCAGATAGCTTTCATGGTCATATTTCATAAATTTCACTGAAGTTGGTTGAAAAAAATCAAAGAATGGAAAAATGATGTGTAGCATTCTTTTTCTTCACCATGTACTCATGATCTTCATCTCTTATTTAGTATGGGGAGAACTTCAAATTACTCAGTCCCAGTGGAACTCCATAACCACGGTGTATGTTCAAAGGGAGATGAGGGGATGGGAAGTGGGAATACCAGGTAGGCTTAGCAGAAAATAGAGTTAGTCAAACACTTGTTATCACGGCCCGGTCTTCCTCCACCTAGGAAGGCTGTTGTCTTTGTCTAAGTTTGTTACTTTGGTTTCGTAGAGCAAAGAAGTGGTTTATCACTTTATTAGCCAACTCAGCACCAGTAATCACTGGGGGAGGGAATGGGGCCACAAGCTCTGAAAAGAAAGCAAAAGAACTAAAAGATTCTGCCAAAGGAGAACCCCAAACTGATCATTGTCAGGATCTAAAAATAGTCCACTTAAATCAGAATTAGTGATGAACGACTAACTAGAGCAGAACTATGCAAATGAATACACAGAGGAGATGAAAAGAGCCCTCAATTACTTACTTATATGTTTACGTCTCATATTAGCCTATGCATTTCTTAAAACAAGGTCTGTATCTTAGTTTTTTGACTTTCTATCCCTAAGGCTTGGCATGATGTCTAGTACTTAATAGATGCTCAATAAATGATTAATCGAATTCAGTATACTACAAGTATAAGCTCATCCTAGGATGTTACATTATTATTATTACCATTACTTTAGAGACAAAGTCTTGCTCTGTTGCCCAGGCTGGAGTGCAGTGGTGTGATCACAGTGAGCCTCGACTTCCTGGGCTCAAGCAATCTGCCCACCTCAAACTTCTGAGTAGCTGGGACTACAGGTGCACACCACCTTGCCCAACTAAGTTTTAATTTTTCTGTAGAGCCAGCATCTCCCAATGTTGCCCAGGCTGGTCTCAAACTCCTGGGCTCAAGTGATTCTCCCACATTGGCCTCCCAAAGTATTGGGATTACAGGTATGAACCACTGTGCCTGGCCCTCCAAAGATGTTATATTAATCTGATGTTCAATACTGCCCCAAATAGCAAAGCATGAAAAATGTGTTATTTAAGGCATGAAGCAGTGTTTTACAGTGAACTCCACCAGGATGAGACACCCTGGAGCCTGGACCGAAGAAGCCTATTCTAGGGATGAAGAGCTGTCTCAGGTGCTGAGCCCTGGAAAGGCCTAGGATCTGGTGTCTGAAGGACATGGCACTAGACACCTGGTTATGCAGGTGTTATGAAGGGAAAGTGGCCCTGCAAAAGAAAGAAGCATGTCAACAAGAAAGCCAATAGCAGGCAATGCTCACACATGCAGGAAGGTGGAAAATCTTTAGGTATCAGAAACATGGTTGTTGCACCACATGCTGGCCGGGACTCCAAACCTGGAACATGGGGACAGGCTCTTGACTTATAGGAACTAGGGCATGGGCCAGGGATTCATGTACCATGGAATAAAGCAGAAGCTAGGTATCATCCCTGGGGACAAGGGACAAAGGATTAGAGCTGGCTAGGCAGCGAGTATGCCTTGATGCTAAATCCCAGAATATTCAGTGCTTCTGAAATTGTCCGTGCCAAGTCAGAGCTGGAGCTAGAGATAGGGAAGAGCTGAGGCCGCAAGCAGCCCAGCAGGGTCATATGACCTTGGCCTTGGGCGGAGGAGGGGCTAACACTCAGCGTGGCCTGGCTAGCAGAGTCAGATGGTGTGTTAATATGCTGTTCTGGATCATTTAGTAGCATTCCAATAATCTGAAAGTGTTCACGTGCCAGGTCAATGTTGGGGAAAAAGGAGTTTAAATACTTGTCATATACTTAGGCCACTGGTTCTCAAAGTGTGGTCCCTAGATCAGCGGCATCAGCATCATCTGGGGACTTGTTAGAAATGCAAATTATTAGGCCTCGTTCCAGCCTAGAGTCAGAGACTTGGGAGGTGATGGTGGGTGTGGGGAGGGGGTTTTAACAGACCCCTCAGAGGATTCCAACACATACTCAACTTTGAGAACCACTGTGTTCGACAACATCTAAATCAGGCCCTTGGATTTTATGGATGCCACGGGCCTCTTTGGCAGACTGGTGAAGTACATAGATTCCCCAGAGTAATGTTTTCAAATATGTAAAACTACAAAGGAAACCAGTTATACTGAAATATAGTCATTAAAAAGTTATGCTGCAATAATGTATGTGTTTGTTTATAAACACATGAAATAACCATCTCATGGCAGATCTAATAACATCTGTAATTTTGATGTAGTGATGAGCTTCAGTAGTATTTCAAGATGTCTGCAACAGCTGTCATGTGATTTCTATTACTGACAAAATCACACAGACTCCTATTACTATAGTAGTAGTAAATTTTTACCTGCATTTACAATGGAAGAAATGCTACATTTCAGTGAGAAGTAATCAAAATAAAAATGTCATTCTTTCCATCCATGTTCATAGGCCCCTCAATTCTTTCCAGGGTCCTCTGAGGATCCATGGTCCCCAAATTAAGAACTACGCTATAAGTCCTTAATAAACATTATCTTATTTTATTCTTTTAAAAGTTTTACTCCTAATATTCCCATTTTATGGATCAGGAAACTGAGGCTCAGAGAACTGAAGAAACATGTCTAATGTCTCATGTGGTTAGTCAGATATGGAGTGTGGGCTCAAAGCCCCTGTAGAGACAGGTTTCCGTGGCTGATCCATTAGTGCCTCTCAGAGTGCCTAGAACAGGGCCGAGTTCATAATATGTACTCAGTAAGTATGCGTTGATTGCATGAATGAATGAATTGAATTGAACGTCAAGCCTGTGTACCTCAAAATTCCATGCTGTCTCTACTCTCCATCTATCCCATGCAACTATGTATGAAAAGGAGACTTTTCTCCTTATTCATCCAGCAGGTAGGGAAGGGTAAGTTCAGTTCCCTGATCTACTAGACCTGACAACGGAGCTTTGATTCTAAAATTGATGTTGAATACACATAGCACGAGCAACATTATTCCGACAAAATTGGAAAACAATTCAACAAATTGAGGAGAGGAGTGTCTCAGCAAGGAACGCCAGTCCCTCTGGTTTCTCTTGGAAGCAGCTGAGCTTGTTAATGAAACAGGTTGTTACTTTCACTTAACGTGTGTCCTTCTTTAACTGACAAATTAGTTAGTGCCAGCAGGAGAGGCAAGAAGGCAGTGACTAAAGGGGCAGGGAGTGCTGAGAACCCAGGCTCGGAGAGAAGCACAAAATGAGAGAAGAGAAACATACCAGGCCTTCTCTTCTTCTAAGCAAAACAAATTTTTCTCAGGCACTTTTCACAGATGTCTAATGTTCTTAACTAACCACACTTAATTTAATTACCTTAAAGTGAATTGGATGGCTGAAAATTCATTTACATAACAGCAATTCTAATACTTATAAATTGCACAATCAATTAAATCCTTAAGAACAAATGTATAGACTGTAAATGAAATATCTATCTAGTAGGATTAATCAAAAGCTAATCATGAAAAATATCATCCTGGGTCTGGCTCAAAGAATATGCCATGGTTACCATTACCAATTACAGTATTGTAGGGCCTGCTTTAATAGGTAATCATATTAATTGACAACACTATATTTAATGTGTTTCCATAATCCTTTCTTTCTGAATCAGAGATTCATTTATCTTTAGGCTGTGTCTTGCTGCAACCCATCATCAACATTGTCATCAATGTTACAAGTGTGTATTTGAGTGTGTTTTCCATGGAAGACATGGAGCTAGCCACTGGGGATGCACTGAGAAATAAAATATAGTGCCTGACCTTATAAGAAGAGAGACAAGGATGAAGGCCCTTGATGGCTCGGGTGAGGATTGCTTAAAAAGAGTGAGAGAAAGTCATTAGGAGTGGGAAGAGGGAATCAGGGCCTAAAGGGTAGACTCCATATCGTCCCACACTGGACCCTATTCAGTGCTGGATATGTCCAGGGCCTAGCTGTTTCTGCACACGGTCAGTAGGTGTTTAGCCCAAGTTTGATGACTTCAGTTTGGTCCAGTAGTTCTGCCTGATAAGAAAAAAGCCAAGAATATGGGTGAGGAACTTCCTCCTGCTGTTCGTAAGGATTCTTAAAGATGATTTTTGAGAGCAGATGTAAATAACATCAAGGGTTTGTTTGTCTAAGCTAGGGATGGAACCCATGGCTTTCCAGCTATGCAGATGCCAGTTGCAGATTAGACGTAGGTAACTGTTTTGATTCAAAAAATCAACTTCATAGTGGTAATATTGGCAAAGATCCTTGAACAAATTTAAAAACAGATTTCTAACCAGATGGTATGGGAGTATTTAGAAAAGAATGCAGGAATCATTGAAAAGCCACTGTGGGTAAACTCAGAATCAAGCAGACAAACCAATCTCGTTTTCTCTTCTGATAGGCTTGGCACTTGGCAGGTCAAGGAATGCAGTGGAGAGCATGCATCTCATTTCAGCTTTTGATGAAATCTCTCCTGCTGTCCTTTTGAGTAATATGATAGATGTGGATTAGTTGATAACAGTATTAAGTGGATTTACACTTACTTGAGCGTCAATAGCAAGGAGTGTGGATTGGTGTCTCTCTGTCCTCTGCCCTGTCCTGTCTCACATTTTTTTCCAACACTGGGATGAAGACTGGATGGCTATAGCCCATTGGATTTTCAAATGGCTCCACCTGGGTAACTCATTCCTGTGATCTGGGCATCTCCAGTTGCCTTAATTACTCCGCTGTTTCAGGTCCTAATTTCGCCTCATCCCCAAACTCTGCTCCACAACTCAGCCAAGGCCAAAGGCGTACACATCAGAGAGTCACGTATCGTGTTTTCTCCAGATGTCCCATAACAGAATGAGCTGTCTGTTCCATAACAAAACGAGTCCTTGTTAGGATGTTTCTAGGAGGTCCCTGCATCACTGAGAGGTTGACTAGGATGCTCTGTCTAGCCTTCCTGTTTTCTCTTTTATTCTCTGAGGGAGTGGCATGCAGTGAAAAGAACACTGGCTTTCAAAACAAAACTGACTTCACTCTTTGCTCTTTGGGTAGGTCTCAGTTTCCTCATCTGTATAATGGGGATAATAATTCCTACTTCCCGAGGTTGTGGGAGGATTAAGTGATGAGGCCTGTCTAGTGCAGCAAGCACATAGGTGTGCCCTCTGTCAATGTTAGTTCCTTTCTGTCTTCTAGAGAGCACTTTGGAAGCAGGTGAACAGGCTCCCTGGAGGTACCATGCGAAGCCCTTAGGACTTGGTTGGTGAGGCAGCCCAGTGAGGCCCTCTTTGCAAGGCCAGGACTGTCAGGATGAAACGGCCTCAAGCACAATGAAGGAGAAGGCTCTTTCACCCTTCCATGTCTAATTCTGACAGAGAGGAGGAGACACAGTGGGGTGGATGCAGAAAGATATACTGGCTCTCCACTAACTTGTCGTGGGCCCTCAGGCAGGTTGCTCAGTGTCTGAGGACCTGTCTAAGGGTCCTCCTATGGGCAATAAGAAGCAGAATCCACCAATGTGATGGGAGGCTTAGATGTGTGGCTTAGATCCACCAATGTGATGGGTGGCTTAGATGAGATTAGGTATTTGGATTTCCTGGCTCAGAGCCTGTCACCCAGAAGGTGCAGTATAAATGGCAGTTTTGTTTCTATTAAGATTTGTGATAATAATAGTATCAAGAGAACAGCTTCAAGCTTTGAGGCCTCCAGACCTGGTACTGGTCTGCTCTGGGTCTCTGTTCATGGTGAGGGAGAGCAGAATTTTTAAAAATGAAACAGGAGCTGCGGGAGAAATCTGGGATGAGAGGCAGATGCTAACACTACAGAGAGCTTGGTGAATGAGGGTCTTTAGAAGGCCCACTCAGTTTGGGGCTCTGAGATCTTTAAAACAGCAAACTTTCCCACACTCACGAGGGCCATGATCCTATGAGAGACAGTGAGTCTTAAGGGGTGGGTGGGGGAGTGACAGCTGTAGATGGCTTCCACACAGGTGCTGCCCCTTCTGCGCGGTGCCAGGCATGTCCAGCCCCTCTGCAGTTTGAGGTAACCCAGCCTGGAACATAAAGGGGTGAGTTGTGCTAGCTGCTCCCTCAAGTCATTCCCAGGCCTAGAATCCTTGGGTTCCAGGTCTGCCTGGCCTTTGAGGTGGCATTACAATAGGACCCTTTGGATGCCTTGATGGGTTTTGCCTCAAGGTTGGAGTCCCAGGACTGACTTCCTGCCTAGTAAATTCCATGCTATTGTGAGAAGCTCAAAGCTCTTTAGAGACTCGTGTGTGTGTGTGTGTGTGTGTGTGTGTGTGTGCATGCATGTGTATGCTGCACATAGTCTCTTAGTTCCTCACTATTAGACCTCAGAAGGGACTATTTTGTTTGTTTCATGTATTTATTCATTCAAAACATAGATATCGCTCACCTGCGATAGCAGACTGTGCTTTATGATGCTTTCACCCAAGATGCTAGCATGTTCTCTACTCAAAAAAATAATAATTCTCCTAAGACATCTAACATTTGGCATCTGGAAGAGAACAGGATGTTTAATGTGCATGAAGTATGTTCACAGAGCCGGGGTGGACTTAGGAAGTGAGCCAGCTCCCTCCTGCCTACCCCAGCTCTGCTCCCTGCTCCTTCCCTGCCTGCTTCGTGCTGCAGGAGGCTGAAGGGGATGAAGTGCATCCTGCCTCCCTGGCTCTCTGGCTTCTGGTTGTGTTTGGCCAATGGGAACACCACAGTAGATCAGAGCAAGGGTGGAGGGTGGCATTGGAGTGTTTATTTCTCTAGTTCCTTTCCCGTGGCACTGCACGGTATGTTCCCGAGTCAAGGTCTCTTCCCCTCTCAAGACAACCTTCTCTACAAAACTCTTCTCCCTTTGGATTCTAGCAATCACGCCTTCCCCACTGAGGACTGGGCTAGTGATGGTTACTAGCCCTGGCATACTAGTGCTAGTTACTAGCCCTGGTGGTTTTCTTACCCTCCCCACACCTTTGTAAAGAATCTCCCTGATTAGACTCACCTCAAATTATCCAATTTGAATGTGCCATCTCTTTCTTCCTGGGACCTTGAGTGATAAAGATCATCTATTCCTTATTTTGACAGAGGAGGAAACACAGGAAGTGACTTACCCAAAGTTACTCAATTAGAGAGAAAGCCAGGACTCAAGCTGACTAAGACTATCATGAATATGTAGAACATTGACCCAGATTTTTCTGTTTTCTTGTGTTTCGTCTTTTCTTCTTGGTCCCTGGAAGATGCTGTCAGGAGGTTTCAGTGTAATTAATTATGCTGGCACATCCAATGAATGGAGCTATGATTTAGCAAGTCTACTTGAGATGCTGATAAATTAAACAATGAAATGCACATTTCAGTTTCAGTTAAGAGAATCCTAACCTAGTTGAGGAAAAGAGCACAACCTCACATTTCCTTTCTAAAAGAGGAACGTTTTACAGAACTCCTATGTTGAGATCCCCCTCCCTTTGCGGCCGCCTTTTTCCCATGTCAGTTCTCTGCTCAGGAATAGACTATAGCCATGTAGGGATCAAATGAAATAACTTATCTGAGGTATTTTTAAACACTGTAATGTTCTTTATAAAATGCAAAAGATTATAGCTATTCAATCTATAAATATCTGAATGTAGGATAGCATATGCTTATAAACAGCTTTTTTGCTCATTGTTTATTACATCAGATCCAAGCTTATTTGTCAAAATGTTAAGGTCTTATAAAAATGTACTGCCTTTCCTCCACAACTCACTCACTTTTTCATCAGGCAGTGTGGGCTCGTGGAACTAATACAGACAAACTAGATTCACACTTGGTTCAGGGTCACTGCATATGGCAGTGCAGGCTGTGTCCTGCACAGGATGCCACATCTAAGGTATTTGCATCATCACTGCTATAGATCTTTATGTTTTTTAATGACAGTTTTCCAGAGGATAGTAGTAGAGTGGCTGGCTTTGTTAAACTTAGTATATTATGACAATTTTACAATAAATAAAAAAAAATGCCTTGAGGAAGAGATAACTTTTTCTAATATGACCTTCTCCTAGCTTCATAATAAAGCAATCATATATAAGTTTATGAAAATCACTTACTTCAGGTTGTATAATCTAATCAAGGGAAATCTCTTAGAATAGAGATGACAAATATTTGCCATGTACACCACCACACTTTGCCCATGGAAGACCCCAGTAGCCACCATGGCTCCCTTCCTCAAGTCTGGATGCAACTTACACCATGTGCCAAGCAACCATTGCCAACCAAATGGGGCTGGCATACTGGCTGATATCCATTTGCTGTCACTGCTCAAAAAGGTTGTTGTAAGGATTTCAGGATAGTGAATCCACAGCACCTGGAACAATGACCACAATCATCATCACATTCCGGGCACTATAGATTCACCATCTTAAAATCCTGATGAGGCCAGGCATGGTGGCTCACGCCTGTAATCCCAGCACTTTGGGTGGCTGAGGCGGGTTTATCACCTGAGGTGAGGAGTTCGAGACCAGCCTAGTCAACATGGTGAAACCCCGTCTCTACTAAAAAATATGAAAATTATCCAGGCATGGTGGTGGGCGCCTGTAATCTCAGCTACTAGGGAGGATGAGGCAGGAGAATCGCTTGAACCTGGGAGACGGAGGTTGCAGTGAGCCGAAATAGTGCCACTGCACTCCTGCCTGGGCAACAAGAGTGAAACTCCATCTCAAAAAAGAAAAAAAAAAATCTGATGATTGTGGTCATCACAGGCTCTGCCACCAGAGCCCTGTGAATGTTCTCCAGGTCTGCGTACCACTCCCTTGGTTGGCAATACCTGGCTCCCTCCCTACCACCGGCCTATGCTCAGCCTCAATTCATTGCTCAAATAGAAACAGAACCTTGGTCTAGGTCAGCATGGTGCTTGCTACTGAGTGCACCAGGGCTCCCAGCAGCACACACATCCCCACTGACCTCAGCTCACTCTCTTTCCTCCTCTCCTCTCTAAACTCCACACAGACCCATGCTCTGTTGCTGCTAATCAGCACTCAATGGTAATTTGTAAATGTCTGCAAAACTCATTATAATTCTTTTGTGTGTCCAGGCGCTGCATTCCTATCAAGAGGGCAAATCCCTTGAAGACAGAATCTTTTTCTTCCTTTTAGGTTCAATATTCTGCTCACATGGGAACTCAACAAATCATATTGTTTCGGTCATGTAGGGTGCCTTGAAAAATAAGGCATGATCATTTGTTATAACTAGTCCCTGGTCACCTTCTTCATATGAGGCTAAGAAAATGAATATAGTCATGAAATGATTATTGCTCTCCTGGTCCAAAAAGTAAATTTAAATTCTTTTCTTTCTTAAGTCCAAAAGATACAAAACTAATTGAGAACTCCTGATATTGTTATAATACTATTACTTATAATAAGTAATAATAGTAGAAGTCAAAATACAATTTCTAATGCCATTACTACTAACTTCATTAGGATTCATTTCTTCCTCTCCCCCACTCTCATTTGGCCAAATGCATTTCAGTAAGTGCACATGGGAGCTGAGAGGATGATAAAGAATTATGAGTCTCAGTATTTATTCTATGCTCTCCCAATATTGCAGCTCTATTCCTTCCAGATGAGATGGCATTTTGACTGTGGGTGATATGATTAATGCCCAAATATGACCTAAAAAATTGAAAGGGAGGCACAGTGACTGGGTTTGGGGGAGGAGGTTGGGAGATATCCTTCATTATTTGTCAGGCTACTTAGGCAAGGAAATACACTTATTGATGATAAATATGCAAAAATGAAACAATAAAATTTTGAACTGTGATTTTTTTTTTCAAAATCTAAAGCCTGTAGGGTCTTGGTATGTGGGTGGAGGGCCTATGAGATATAGAGGAAATTACTGATGCTTTCTCTGTGTCGACCTCATCCGTAAAATGGGAGTAATGGAGCCACCATCAGTGCCATGTCTATTGTCTTGAGGGTTGAAATCAGGGTCTTGGGTGCAGTTGTACAGGTTGGGCCTGCTCTGGAACATTCTGCTGAGGGGAGCAGAGGGGCCCCAATGGAGCGGGGCTCCACTTGCCAAGCCATGGCCTTTTGCTTATGCATCTTTGCTCATTTGCTCATTTGTCTGCCAAGAGCAGAGGGGCTTTTTCTAATTTACAGGAAGAAGCTGTTTGTGCTCACAGCCGCCCTGATTGAGATAAGTATGTAATGACATTATTATTCAACCAAGGGCTTTCACTTTTTCCTAATGAGTGTCTATTCATCGCACTAGTGAGGAGAGTGTGGAGTTGGATCATCACTATAATTGAGCACAGTCAGAGACGGTGGCATGAAAAAGCCAAGGACGCAGATTCACAGGAGTATAGCATTTGGAAGCTAGAAGATCACCTACTCCAAACACTCCCATTTTGCAGAAAAGGAGTCCAAGACTCAGAGTAAACTTCTCCTCCCCATCAAAAAGAAAAGGCTTGTTAGTTAAGTTCATGAAGCTGGCTGGTGGTAGTTGGAATGAGACCTGTGGTGGCCTGCCTGGCAGTCCTACAAATTAGAAGGCAGGAGTTCTCCATTCCCAAGATATACGTTCCTCACCCCGGTTTTGTGGCATTTGAGAATCCAACATCTGAGTATTTCTTGAGGGTCCTTCTCCAGGGTCTCCTTTTTTTTTGAGACAGGGTCTTGCTGTTACCCAGGCTGGAGTTCAATGGTGTGGTCTCGGCTCACTGTAACCTCTGCCTCTCAGGTTCAAGTGATTCTCCTGCCTCAGCCTCCCAAGTAGCTGGAATTACAGGTGTGCACCACCATGCCCAGTTAATTTTTTGTATTTTTAGTAAACAAGGTTTCATCACTTTGGTCAGGTTGGTTTTGAACCCCTGGCCTCAAGTGATCCACCTGCCTTGGCCTCCCAAAGTGTTGGGATTACAGGTATGAGCCACTGCACCCGGCTCCTAGGGTCTTCTACGTTCAGGTTGAGGGCTGACTAGTTTTACAAATACTCGAAGTTCAGATACTTTTCTCCCACACATCTCCCTGGTTCCACTCTCTAGACCCTCTCGCCTCCCTCCAGCCAACCTCTTTATCAGATTGTTCATCATTATTGCTCAGGCTGAAAATCCAAACCCCAGCTCTCCTCTTCCAACCCTCATTTCTCCCCGGGTGGACTCATTTTCACCACCGTGAACCACCTTGCATGGAGTTCCCTCTGCTGCCAGCCCATGTCTTCCTGACTGATTGAGTCTTGCGGTGCCTCCAGGTGTCTTCCTAGCCATAGATCTGACTCCAGCTTCAGCAGGCCCTTTCTCTTGTCACCCTTGCCAGCCAAGTATACCTTCCCCTCTCCTTCCCCTGTTCTTCCCTCCCCAGTGGTTGCTTTTCTTATTCATGGAACACTTGTCCCCATCTCATCACCCAGTCACCAACACTGGGGACATTGTGACACCCCCATACACTTGGGTCTCGCTGTTCCTTAAGGTTGGATGGTGCCCACTCCTCCTCAACACGGCTCCTCAACATGGCTCCTTCCCCACAGTGGCTCCTTGGCCATGATTTCCGATCCCAGAGTTCCTTGATGGCTGATATGGTTTGGATCTGTGTCCCCCACCCAAATCTCATGTGGAATTGTAATACCCAGTGTTGGAGGTGGGACCTGGTGGGAGGCAACTGGATCATGGGGGTGGAATCCTCATGAAAGGTTTCGCACCATCCCCTCGGTACTGTTCTTGTGATAGTGAGTGAGTGAGTTATCACAAAGTTTGGTTGTTTAAAAGTGTGTGGCACGTCCCTGCTACCGCTCTTGCTCTTGCTCCACCGTGTAAGATGCCTGCTCCCCCTCTGTCTTCAGCCATGATTCTAAGTTTCCTCAGGCCTCCTGAGAAGCCAAGTGGAAGCTACTATACTTCCTGTGCAGCCTGCAGAACCATGACCTAATTAAACCTCTTTCCTTTATAAATTACCTAATCTCAGAACTAATACAATGGCCACCTATTCTTTTTCTTCTACCTGGTCTAGCCTCTTCTTTTTTTTTCTGGAACCATCCCTTTATCCTCATCATGTGCTCTAGTCCCTGACTTCACCTCCTCCCTGCTCCCTGCTTTCCTTGTCATCCAGGAACTTCATGGACATCAGCGCCATCCATGGTCTTGCCTACCCTAGAGAAGCATGTTCCTCTGGCCTGTGCTGACCCTGTCTCATCCATCCCCAGCTGGTTAAATCTTCCCTTCGCTCTTCTCCTTCAGGCTACCAGGAGCCCAATGCTGCCATTTCTCCAGGCTTTCTGGGATCCTTGCATACACAGGGGCTCTGGTCTCAGCTGGATCTAATGCTTTGCTCATCTCTGATTTGCTCCCTACCACATTGACACAACCCCAGTCCCCAACTCCCCACCTCCTTTCTGGCATATTCTTGTCTTCCCACTATCAGCACTTGGTCTTGCTTCCTGCATTGCTGAGAAGGGAGACTGGGCTGTCCCCCAGGAGCCCTTAAATACCCTCTTCTTCCCCTTGCTTTTTCCTGACACCTCTCTTCTCTCATCTTCTTATACTGACCTCTGATGCATGGGGAGAAGAACTCCCCCAGCTCATCCTTCCAAGCCCTTCTGGATCCTTCTAGAACATCTCTTCAGTCCCTCTGTCCCTTGCTAAGTCTTCCTTCTGTCCTCTCCACTGATTCTTTCAAGTCCCCACCATCATTCCCCTTCCTTCACTACTGAATGTCAATGTCTTATTCCTCATTTACTTGGCATTCATCCTGTGAGCCTCACTTCCATGCCGACAATTCTCTGGAGATGCTCTACCAGAGGTCATCTGTTACCTCTTACTTGTCAAAGCCAAAGGCCTTTGCACACTGCTGAAATCCTTGAAAGAACTGTCCTTGAAACTCTCCGACGCTTCATTTCCATGTCCTTACTGGTTTGCTGCTCCTGCAAATTCTCACCACTCTTCCCGTGGCCTCCTTTCTTTGGAGGATGCCCAGGGGGTGTCCTTAGCACTGCTTCATGTCCTCTTCTTCCTCCTTCCGGGGGAAAGTACAGGTTCCCCTCAATAGCCTCATCTCTGTGGAAAGCTCCATTTCATCCCTTGCCTCAAGCTCTCTCTGGATTTCTTGCTAGCCCTTTTGAAAACATTTTTTTTTATTGTGGTAAAATATCCATAACATAAAATATACCAGCTCAACCATTTAAAGTATACAGTTTAGTGGCATGAAGTTCATTTGCACTGTGGTGCAATGATCACTGCCATCCATCTCTAGAACATTTCTCGTTTTGCAAAATTGAAACTTCGTACCAGTTAAGCAGTCACTCCCCATTCCCTCCTACTCCCAGCCCTGGGTAGCTACCATTCTACTTTCTGTCCATATGGTGCCTCACATGAGTGGAATTGTATAGTATTTGTCTTTATGTGTCTGGTTAGCATAATGTCTTCAAGGTTCACACACATTGTAGCAGGTGTCAGAATTTCCTTCCTTTCCAAGGTTGAATAATATTCCATTGTACCACATTTTGTTTATCCATTTATCTCTTGATGGACACTTACCATTTAACAAATTTTTAATGAGCTCCTCTTTGCCAGGTCCTGTAATAGGCACAGGTACACGCTGGAGAATAAAACAGGCATCATCCCTGCTCTTGCGAAGCATATAGTCCATGCAGCACCCTTAGTAACGAATTTGAGTCACAACTTCTCTAATGCGAGTCCCTTGAGGGTACAGACCATTGCTGGCTTCTTTGGTGGTCCCCAAACCCCTAACAGAGCTTTGTACAGAGTTAATGCATAGTTAAGATTTGCTGAATGAATGGATGAATGAATGAACCCAATAAGCACTTGTAAAAGATCAGTTTTGTAAATGCATAACTTCTCTTGAAATCCTTCTCTTGAAGTTTCATCCCCAGAGAGTGTTTGCAGTAGAAGTGACTTCCAAACAGAGCATGGATCACTCAACGTTTTATTACTCAGAGGTTCTTGTTACTTCATAAATCTTGAGCTCCCCCAATGTAAATTGCCATCAAACAAGCAGAACAATGACTCAGGCATTCTTTTTATCAAGGGCTTGGTATTAAGACAGATTAACTTGGAGGAACAGCACCGGCCTGGGTATCTGCCCCATCCCTCATTCTTATTGTGATTAATGAGATGGGGCACATATTTTTTTTTTACTCCGCCTGAAAGCATATTGAGTTTATGCCTCATCCTACAATGTTAAATATTGGCTTAGAATTACATTATCTCTTTACACAGATGGATGGGCTGGGTGCTGTGTGTACTGCTGACAGTTTTCTTGAAGTGGAACCAGGATTGGTGAGGGAATCATTCAGCCGTGATTACAGCTGGAATGCATGCAGAGACCTCCAGTAAAACTAGAGTAAACAGGTATGCAGTGAATCCAAAAGCAAAAGATTAATGCAAAGATGCTGCAGACCAAGAACTAAGACAGTTCAGGGTAGATTGTCTTTATGCAGGGTGGGCAACTAACTAGTAATCATATGCCAGTATGAAGACGTGGAACTCTTCAAGGGATGATGTCTTCGCAGTTGTAACTCAAGTGCCTCAGCACTGAGTAAGGACTTAATAGATATTGTTTAAATGAATGAATTTATAGTTTTCAAACTATTTTGGTATTTACTATTTTATTTTCATCTTAAACTGACTTATGAGATAGATAGGTAACAAATTATGATTCCCATTTTACAGTTGAAGAAACTGAGACACAAGTGGTATTACGGGTCACTCAGGTTACCAGGGAGCTGGGATTAGGGATCTGGTCTATTGGATTTATATCCAGGGACTGCTCTTCCACTTAATTCATTCATCATTTCAACAAATGTTTGTTGAACAACTAATATGCTCCAGGTTCTGTATTTGATTATGAGTGAAGGTTGGTGGAGATGGAAAAGCCGTGATATCTTTCATCAGGGAAATTAGATCTCACAGAGGATACAGATATGAAAAAGCATCATTACAACCAAGTTTCCAAGAGAAAGAACAATGCATGGGCACCGTACCATGGCACATAGAGATCTGGGCAAATGACTTTGCTTGGGGAACCTGGAAATGCTTTAGAGAGGAGGTAACATTTCCATCAGTGGAGTTTTCTGGCTTAAGAATCCCAGCCCAGGGGCATGAGTGAAGGCAGAGACCTAAAACAGCTGCATCTTCAGGAATCCCAGGCAACATGGCTGGGATGTGGGCATGGGGTGAGGCGTGGCAGAAGGAACACTGGAGAAGCAGCAGGGGCTGGATTTATTTGGCATTAAATTAACAAAATTTATCGAGCTTCTACTAAGTGCTATGAATGGTGTTTAGTGCTGTGTTACTGTGGATATAATGAGATCCATAAAGTTCTTGCCCTCATGGAGCTTTCTTTCTATAGGTTGGTGCAAAAGTAATTGTGGTTTTTACCATTACTTTCAGTGGCAAAAACTGCAATTACTTTTGCACCAACCTAATAGTGAGGTGATTTGGACAATAAACAAGGAACCAAATATATTAATTAATTACCAGTTGTTGGTGGTGCTAAAAGGAGCTAAACACAACACTGAGACAGAGGAAAACACAGATCACAGTGGGAATTCCTGAGGTGGTGGTTTTCCAGCTGAGCTCCAAAGGATGAGTGGGAGGTGACAGTATAGAGCCAAGGGAAGGTGTTGCATGCTAGGGAGCAGTGAGTACAAAGGGCCAGTGGCCAGGAGAAACAGATGGGCAGCCAGTGTGGGGACGCTGTGTGAGAGAAGGTCAGAGAGGTGGGCAGAGCCAGGTCACACAGGGCTTTAGGCTGAGATTTTTTTCTGAGACCAATGGGAAGCCATGCAAAGGTTTTATAGTGAGGTGGCCTGCTGGCATAACTTGATCTACATTTTTGATGTTTATTATGCTGGCTGCTGTGCAGAGAAAGAAGGGAGCAAAAGTGGAGCTAGAAAGGCCAGTCAGGAGGTACTGCTGTATCAGTTGACCAGGTGAGAGATTATGGTGGCTTGGGCTAGGATGGTAGGAGGGAGGGGCAAGTGGGTAAGTGTATATTTTGGAGATGGAATTGACAGGGTTTGCTCTCATGGGGGATATGGGGTGAAGAGTGAAGAGGAGATGAGGAAGAATCGCAGCCTTGGGTAATGCTTGAACAAGGAGAGAGGCAGTGAAGGGTGGAGTAAAATGGAGAAATGAGAGAGACCTCGAGGCTCATCAGCAAGGCTGGACTTGATCCCATAGCAGATAGGGAGCCAGTGACTGATGCTAAGCAGAAGAATAACACAGTCAAGCTGGCATTTTATTAGGTTGGTCCAAATGTTATTGCGGTTTTTGCCATTACTTCCAACGGGAAAAACCACAATTACCTTTGCACCATCCTAATAGAAGGCCACTTTGACGGCTGGGTAGAGAGGGGGAGGCAAGGAGCCTGGAGGCATGGGGTGAGTCCAGGGTGACTGTGACAGTGAGCAAGCAAGGATGAGGGCTGGAGGTGGGGCAGAGACCCCAGACTACTTGTGGCCTGTGGTCACTCCAAGGTCCAGTGTGGTTAGGATTGTGAAGGAAAATGCAGTTATTATCTGGGAGGCATTAGTAATTGGACCAGGGTGAGGGAGGCAAGATGGGCTGAGAGTAAATTGATAGCCTTTGGGCTCTCAGTGGAGCAGCCAGCCTGCTCTGGGTTCTCAGGTGAGAAGGCTGTGAATTCTCTACTGGGTGGGACACCCTGATGGGTTGCCTGGGAGCCACACAGCCCCCAGCATGCCTCTGGGGGAGGGGAAGGGGGTCCAGGGACCTGCTGCTGTGTAGACTGTTGGGTCATCAATGGTGCCTGAGTGAATGTGCTATCTCAAGATGATTGAACTATCTTTGGGGGCGGTGAGCTTCCTGTTACAAGAGAAGTTCAAGTGGACTGATAAGTACTTGGCAGGGGCTTCAAATGCCAGGTGGAAGTCGTACTAGATGTCCTGAATATCTCCTTCTGCCAGCACTCCTGGTTCCATCAGGTTCTGGGGAGCTTAGGGGGAGTTCTACGTTAGGCCAGGCACTCCTGAGATGACTGAAACCTTGTTGTGGGTGGAAGAGGTTGAAAGGACCCTGAAACTGGGCTCCTGGTTGTCCCAGGCCCTGTTTACAGTGGCTGTAGGCTTCAGGCACTTGCTTCATACCAATAAATGGGTGCAGGGCAGCCCAGGGCAGCCACATCAGATAATTCATGGAATGGCAGAGAAATCACCATTCTAAAAGGCCAACACCAGCACCATTCAGCTCTTTCCATAATCTAAGGCAGCTACACTAATTGAAAAAAAAAAAAAAAGTCAGTTTGGTTTGGTTCAGCAGTCAGCAACATCCATTCATGGGGTGAATGAATATAGAAGAAAACTCAGGCCTGACATAATGTAAGTGGCTGCATATATTGTAATAAAACCCACATGGACTCGTGCAGCAATCCCCCGAAATAATGAGTTCAGGTTTGCTACAGATTTGCGGCTAGCTCTTCCAGAGCCAGTTTTTTTCTGAGAGGCATCTCACCTCACCCGATGATCTTTAGGGCCAGTGATCCCCTAGGTAACTGTGGCCAGGAAGGAACGGCTGACTAGGTGGGTACAGAGGCTCTACGTAAGTCTCTGCGAGAGATAGTTTTCTGGTGGCAAGAGGACTTGATTTCCTTTGCCCTTGTACAGAGTTCTCAGATCAGGGATCAAACTTTGGGCATTTAATCCCTTTTTCCAATTCTGCATGGTTCTTGCTTTTCTTTATATTATTCTATCAAACAAGCTACAACAAATACCAATTGCTTTTTACTGCTAGATCAAGCCAAGGAGCATAGAATATGATCTCTAGTGGGGTAATAGAAGGCGATTAGAGAATGAGACACTCATGATCAGGTATAAACAGGGTGAGCTCATCAGGGGATAATGCTTTGCACTTTTTAGAAAATATGAGACTTAGCTTTAGAAGTTGAGCAGGATTGGCTCATGTCTGTAATCCCAGCACTTTGGGAGGCCGAGGCGGGTGGATCATGAGGTCGGGAGATTGAGACCATCCTGGCCAACACGGTGAAACCCCATCTTTACTAAAAATACAAAAAATTAGCCAGGCCTGGTGGTGGGTGCCTGT